>NC_000012.12:32887065-33039760 GCF_000001405.40 Homo sapiens
AAAGTTTTATACTATTGAAAATTTAACCAATAGTTGTACAGTGCTATATTTTGTGACCAGTTAGCTCACATAATCAACCATGAGAAACAACTTGGTGTATCAGGTATATGCTAGAAAGTACTGGCTATGAGTTCTTAAAACGTTGAATATGCCAGGGACAGAACAGCTCTCCTGCAAGAGTGGGCCACACATACCACATGCCAGTGTGCGACTGACTAATCCATTGCTGTTATCACTCACACGATATACCAGCCACTAGAGTCCTTATTTTTCAGGAGCCCCCTAAGCAATTCAAGAGCTATCTTCTGATATACCAATTTATGACATTTGGGGGGCAATCCTCAAATCACTGCTCTAGGTAATGACAAAAACACATTTTAAATGTCCCCCTCCCACTTTTTTTATTGAGATGGAGTCTTGCTCTGTCGCCCAGGCTGAAGTGCAGCGGTGCGATCTTGGCTCACTGAAACCTCTTCCTCTCAGGATCAAGCGATTCTTGTGCCTCAGCCTTCCGAGTAGCTGGACTACAGGTGTGTGCCACCATGCTGACTAATTTTTGTATTTTTAGTAGAGATGGGGTTTTGCCATGTTGGCCAGGCTGGCCTCAAACTCCTGGCCTCAAGAGTTCTACCCGCCTCGGGCTCCCAAAGTGCCAGCGCTTTAGGCGTGAGCCATTAAATGGCCCTTTTATATCACAGGTGTTCATGTCATATTTTGTTTGAGGTATTAGAATATGTAATTGTAGAATTTGTTATTATAAACTGGTAATTTAGCATCCTGGTGAAGTATTAAATAGAAATATCCTGGAAGTATCTAAATCTGTTCATTTCTCAGCCAGGCACGGTGGCTCATGCCTGTAATCCCAGCACTTTGGGAGGTCAAGGTGGGCAGATCACTTGAGTCCAGGAATTTGAGACCAGCCTGGGCAAAAAGGCAAAACCCCATCTGTACAAAAAAAATACAAAAATTAGCTGGGTGTGGTGGCGTACACCTGTAGTCCCAACTACTCAGGAGGCTGAGGTGAGAGAATGGCTTGAGCCCGGGGGGCAGAGGTTGCAGTGAGCCAAGATGCACTCCAGCCTGGGCAACAGAGACAGACGCTGTCTCATGAATGAATGAATGAATACACTGTTCATTTCTGTAACTGTGTCTTTACTTTGGCATTCCTGCCAATTATTTGCTGAGATATCTCATGAGACTTTAAGACTTGTAAGACTTTATAACTTCCATGGCAAATATCACATTATACTCCCAATAATATAAAAAAAGGTGAATTTATAGAACTCACAAATTATTTTTTGCTTTAAAATACTTACTACAGGTTTTCTTTGTAATGACTTTCAAGTCATTATATTTCCCCTGCCTCTCACGTGCCAGGGTTAACCCCTCCCAACTGATTCATAACTGCTAACCCAACTTTTCTTTTTCTTTTTTTTTTTTTGAGACAGATTTTCACTCTTGTTGCCCAGGCTGGAGTGCAATGGCACGATCTCGGCTCACCGCAACCTCCACTTCCCGGGTTCAAGTGATTCTCCTGCCTCAGCCTCCCAAGTAGCTGGGATTACAGGCATGCGCCACCACGCCCAGCTTATTTTTTCTGTACTTTTAGTAGAGACAGGGTTTCTCCATGTTGATCAGGCTAGTCTCAAACTCCCGACCTCAGATGATCCACCCGCCTCAGCCTCCCAAAGTGCTGGGATTACAGGCGTGAGCCACTGCGCCCGGCCTCTTTTTTTTTTTTTTTTGAGACAGGGTCACTCTGTTGCCCAGGCTGGCGTGCAGTGGTGCATTCAGAGCTCACTGCAGCCTTGAACTCCTGGCCTCAGGCGATTCTCCTGTCTCGGCCTCTCAAAGTGCTGGGATTACAGGAAAGAGCCACCATGCTAGGTCTGTTCCTACTTTAAATCCACCAAATCTGTCAAATGTATTTTCACAAAACTCCTGCACTTTTCATGTTTCTTCCCTGTGGAAATATCTGTGACTCACAATTATCAAATTCTTTAACTTGCATTCAAGATCAGAGGAGAGGGGTGAAGGAGGCTGCCTATAAGGGACACAACTGAACTAAGTTAACTGGGCAAGAGAAGGAAGGGAGGGAGACAAGGAGGGGTAGAAATACCAAGCAAGATAAACTGCCTGTGTGTGTTTGGTGGGGAGCAAGGGTAGTGGCCCCAGGGATGAAGTTTGAGAAGTTGCAGGCATTAGATCACGAAGAACTTGGAATGCTGTGTTCAATAATTTTACTCTTGCAGATAACAGTAAGAAACTGAAGGAATTTAAACTGGGAAATGATGCAATGAGATTTTAGAAAGTTCACTCTAGCAGCTGTGTGGAGAATGGATTGGAGTGGGGCCACGTTAAAACAAAGAGGTTATTTTCTCTTCCAAAGAGATTTTGACAGAAAGAACTGTATCTTACACTACCACTTCTAGCACAGTCTTGTATCAGTACTTGACAAGTTAATTGTTGATTAGTCAGATTACCTGTACATTAGAAATATCCTAGTTACACAAATTCAGTTTGCGCTTAATCATTCAGGCAGGTATGTATTCTGTGGCTCACCAGAATGGAACTAAAATGTGAGTATGATAGTCACATACATGCTTTTGTCTTGGGGTAGATGGAAGGTGCTCAAATAGTTTCGACTGTTCTCTGTCATTCTGGGTATACGGAGAGGAAGGAAAGTTGCTTCCCCAGAATGTAGGCAGACTTTTATTAGAAAAGCAGACTTTGGGCCAGGTGCAGTGGCTCATGCCTGTAATCCCAGCACTTTGGGAGGCCGAGGCGGGTGGATCGGTCAGGAGATCGAGACCATCCTGGCTAACATGGTGAAACTCCATCTCTACTAAAAATACAAAAATTAGCCGGGTGTGGTGGCACACACCTGTAATCCCACTTACTTGAGAGGCTGAGGCAGGAGAATCGCTTGAACCCGAGGAGACGGAGGTTGCAGTGAGCCGAGATTGTGCCACCGCACTCCAGCCTGGGCATAGAGCGAGACTCCATCTCAAAAAAAAAAAAAAAAAAAAAAAGAAAAGCTGACTTTGTTCATTTTGGCAAGGTTGTTTCTATATTTGAATAATATATGTTTACTATCATTCTTTTATCTGTATGGCTTGTGTATTTATCTGTAATATTTTGGTGGCCTATAAATTCATATTATCTGTCAAGAAAAGTTCCCATTTGTTTTCATTCTTCAATGAAAAAGAGTAATCAAGATCCAATAAGCTTGATGCTCACCCACACCCACCCCATAAATAGCTTACTGAGAGATTCAGAAAAAATAATCCATTAAGCTTCTAATGAAGGTTTTCATCCACAAATTCTGGAAATCAAGGAATTGCAGAACTTTGATTATGACTGCTTAGGTTAACGAATGTTATTAAGTCTAAAGCTGATTATTCCAAGAATATAAATATGTGAATTATTTTAATAGTAATGGCAGGTTGTGTTTTCAAATGCTTAAGTTTCTTTTTTTCCAACTGTCCATTTTTATTTAAATCTACATATTGAGCTCTCAAGCTTTTGTCTTTAAACACTTTAAGAACATTACAACTGTTTTTATGTCCAATATCCAATTACCAGAAATGGCATTATAGAAAAGATACACAGGCCGGGTGCGGTGGCTCACGCCTGAGATCCCAGCACTTTGGGAGGCAGAGGTGGGCGGATCACCTGAGGTCAGGAGTTCGAGACCATCCTGGCCAACATGGTGAAACCCTGTCTCTACTAAAAATACAAAAAATTAGCTGGGCTTGGTGGCGGGTGCCTGTAATCCCAGCTACTCGGGAGGCTGAGGCAGGAAAATCGCTTGAACTCGGGAGGCAGAGGTTGCAGTGAGCCGAGATCGTACCACCGCACTCCAGCCTGGGCAACAAGAGCGAAACAAAAAAAAAAAAAAAAGAAAAGAAAAGACACACAACAGGTTTTTAATGTTTTTATTATGAGAGCACTTGATAGTTTGTTTAGTAGTCTTACTCTACTAGTCAGGGGAGCCAGGTGGCTCACTCTAATAGAAAAATAAAGTTTTCTCCTAATTTATTGTCTATTCCCACTTGCATTGCTGCCTTTTACTGCTAATTTACTTCCTCAGGAGAAGTAGGGTATTTATCTTCATATATTTGTAGACATGCACAAGATACCTGAAGTCCAACATTTGTCTCAGAATTGTATAATTTAAACTTGTTGAATGTCATCTGAGATGGAAATAAATCATCTTATAGGCCATATTAATCATCTGATTTATAAACTCCAGAGGTTTTAGCATCATATTTATTATATTTCATTACTATCATAGTTTGCCAATAATATGCTTGTTCTCTCAGAGAAAAAAAATCAAAACTTTTAATAATTTGTATTGATCAGACTAGGAATTCAATTGTAGGGTAAAATCAATGTTAAAATGTGAAGATAAAATAATGTAACTATGTATAGGCTTATTTTAATAAATGAGAAAAAACTGTAAAGTTGCTATCTAAAACTTTGAGGAAATGTGAACTACAAATACCTAGAATATTTAATACAAAAGCTACCCTCTGTTCCCATGACTGTGGAACTCTTAGCACAGGGCATACAGATAACAACAGTCTTTTAAAAGCCTAAATGAACAGTCTTCCTTCCTTTAAGGTAATTTCCTGCGTCTTATCTGTCACATATAGAACAATGTACTTTCATAATCAAACCCTGCTACTCTGGGTCTACTTGTGGTTTCTTACAGTTCCACGGATTCTGAAGCATCCTTACTTTACCCTCACACAAAACTTCACCCCTAAGAGATGTGTTCTCAACATTTCCAGGGGTGTGAAGTTTTTTTTGTTGTTGTTGTTAACTACCATTTTGTTAACATTCTATTTCACTTACTATAATCAGAAGGATTTCTTTAATTATTTTTGGACTTACCGAACTCAATCTGCTTGGCCCTGGACAAAAAGTGGCTCACAGGCCATATTACACAGACACAGAGGTGCATTTAATCCAGTGTGCTACTGACACCTCACATTCAGAGCAGAGGGCCATGACCCTGCCACCCGCCATCTCACTCTTTTTTTTCCCTTTCCTGATCCCTCCTACTTTCTGAACGATTAGTCACCTTGCTCCCCAGAATTGCTTCATTCCTGGGATTCCTTTTTGTCAAAGGAAGAATTTATGCAGAATTTGAACAATGTCTAACTTTTTTTTAACAGTAGCGCCTAGTAACTACCTTTCTTTTGCTACCCTGAGCCAATTTTCAATTCTCTCTCCAGAATTCACTTTTTTTTTTTTTTTTGAGATGGAGTCTCACTCCATCGCCCAGGCTGGAGGCAGTGGCATGATCTTGGCTCACTGAAACCTCTGACTCCCAGGTTCAAGCAATTCTCCTGCCTCAGGCTCCCTAGTAGCTGGGATTACAGGTATGCACCACCACACCTGGCTAATTTGTTTTTTATTTTTAGTAGACACAGGGTTTCACCATGTTGGCCAGGCTGATCTCAAACTCCTGACCTCAGGTAATCCACCCGTCTCGGCCTCCTAAAATGGTGAGACTACAGGCATGAGTCACTGCGCCCAGCCCAGAATTCACTTTGATCACAGATATTGAAAAGCAGCTTCACCAAGGAAATCACCTAAGATAATAGTGTGCCTCAAGTTTTGTGGTGGATTTCCAAAGAGGTTGTAAATATAATTGCATTAGGAGATTGTTCACTGTCCTTTATAAGTAGTAAATACAATTTAAAACACAATTTTCTCTCCACTCAGATACCTGGGGTGGGGGCGGGGGGGGGGGGAGAACTGTGTAGCAAGTAGTACTTTTAAGGCAAGTGTAATAAATAGGATATGGATGCTTTTAATTTTTCCCTTTGCCAATACTTGCAATTCTTAAATGTCTTCTATTTTAGAAAAATATTTTAACTATTAGCTACAATACAGACTTACTTCACAATGCTGCTATACACCTCTGAAGGCCCCTTCCCAAAGAGTTACAGCCAACTTTAAAATGTTCAGCACAGTTAAAAATAACACCAAAAGTCACTGAGTGATTTACAATGAAAACCACCCAGCTATACTAAGGCATTGGAAAGAAGACAAAGGGTTAAAGACTCTTGCAAGATACTTATCAACAAATCAGCCACATTTATCTCATCTCTGCTTTCAGCAGGTTATCCGCTGTCTCAACCTTACAGGTTTGTCAACAACTCAGAATTCTCCAGGGCCCTGGAGCTAATAGCAGTTAACATCAGGGTCTTTTCTTCCTGGAATTTCTTGTGTTGATACAGGATTTTTTCCAGACCAGCACTGTTTCAACAATTGCTTGTCTGTTTCAACTTGAGAGACAGGATAGTAACATGGAAATAATAAAAATTATACTCAGAACCACCACGAGCCCCCAGACCTTTTCAAAGAAGTTTAATTAAACAATACATACGAACCACCCCTGGTAATTGTTTCATGGCATGCTAATGTTAAATTCCTTTGAAGCTGATTTCCTTTTTGAGTCTTAGAAAGCTGAGGCTTTAAAGTAAGTAGGTGTTGTTTGCTGCCTTATCTCTCTGTCTGATTTGTACTTCTGTGTAGGCTGCAGAGTGTATTTCAGCTTACTGGAAAGCTGCTGTTGCAATCAAAATATTTCAAACGCTTTGTTCCTTAGTTGGAACAGCCAGTCAAGTAGTTGACCCAAGCATTATAGCAGAAGGACCAAGATAGTGCCCTTTGTTCTACCATATCAACTCTGTGAACTGTGAAATATTCATTCTGTTCCCTCCTAGAATGATCTTTCTCCAGTCACCTCCCTATGTCCAGTCCTACTGAATTTTTGAGATCTACCTCCAGGAAGCTTTTCAAAATTTCCTGCCACCAGGAGTAACTTACTTTTTTTTTTTTTTTTTTTTTTTTTGAGATGGCGTTTCGCTCTTGTTGCTCAGGCTGGAGTGCAATGGCGAGATCTCCGCTCACTGCAACTTCTACCTCCCGGGTTCAAGCGATTCTCCTGCCTCAGCCTTCCGAGTAGCTGAGTAGCTGGGATTACCGGCATGTGCCACCACGCCCGGCTAATTTTGTATTTTTAGTAGAGATGGGATTTTACCATGTTGGTCAGGCTGGTCTCAAACTCCCGACCTCAGGTGATCCTCCCGCCTCGGCCTCCCAAAGTGCTGCAATTACAGGCATGAGTCACTGCGCCCAGCCAATTTACACTTCTAAACTCCATAATATATTAGCCATTCTTTTGGGTCACTTACTACTTTTTATTTGGTAATGTATTTTTCTAGCGGTTGGCTTCCTTCTTCAAACTTTTTGCTTTAAAGCAAGCAGAGTCTTTGTGTTTAATTCAGCACCTGCACAGCGCCCGGCATGAAGAACATACTCATTTGATGCTTGCTGAATTCATCACACAGGTGATGCATTACTTTGTAGAAAGAACAGATTATGTGTGGAGTTGGGATTAAATTTCCAACCATTGCTGACAGACACATACTTCATATGTGAGATGGATTCTCATATCTATCTCAGCAATTGTTTCAAGAATATAATGAAGATTCTGGAATAGGCACATAGTAGATGCTCAGCAACATTCCCTTTTCTTCTGTTCATGGCTCCATTCCCTCCATTTATGGAAGAGTTGTATCTGCTTGCTCTCTTCCTAGCTGGCCATTCTCAGAGGATAAGAAAGAATATCTAATATGCCTCCTGTGTCTCCTACGCAGGGGAAGCTGATTTGGTTTCAGTTTAGCACTGGACCTATGGGCACAGAGAATGAATGGGTGTAATGGCTCCACTTTTCAAAGACTGGCCTCACTCATCCCGCAGTCTTTAGTCAGACCCCTAAGTCTAAATAAATATAAGGTCTTTCCCTCCATGTATTGCAGCAGTTCTGTGTTTTCTAGACCTCCCCAGCCTTTCAGAACTTCCTCAATTTTATTTAAAGAAAAATGGGAGGGGGCCACGGAGAGGCTTAGCATCTAACAAATCCCACTTTGTATTAATCATTTTAAAACTTAATGATAAAACTGATAAGTTTAAAATTCAGGTTTGGGAGTTTAAATACCAGCTCTGCCACTTACCATCTATTAGAGCTTCAGTGTTACTTAACTGCTTAGTTTCCTCATCTGTAAAATGAGGATGAAAATACCTAACTCACAAGTTTTTAAATACATATATATATATATATCTCAAATGAATGCAAACCACATCGCCCAATTCTTGGCACATAGTATGCACTCAGTTATATTAACTACGATCATTGAACATCTTCTCTTTACCTTTCAAGTATGTTAATATTGACTACGTCATCCTTTAGGATTCTTTTACACACACAGTACAGCCTCCCAGACTCTGCTGTTTGAAATCTCTGGTCTGGCCTGTTAGAATTTTTCTGTTTTCCTAATAGAAACTAGAATGGGTTAGCCTACATTCGCCAATGCCCAAGTTACTTCATACAGAAACAACTGAACGTTGCAGGAAACAGATATTCCAACTTAATTGCTCAATTTCTTTCCTCTTCTTTTTGCTATAAGCCAACATAGTGCTTTTATAATGCAAACTCACATACACAGCAACAAGAAGTAAAACAAGGGTCACTGAGTTGATCCCATCACCTGACTTCAGCAGGGGAGAAAAGGATACATCATGATCTCTAATTTTCACAAGTGGCTTGCCATCTTCTTTCCCTTCCACCTCCCCCGTCTATCAATCATGAACATAGTGTGCATGTGTGTGCTTACACCCCTTTCACCTTCGGGTTTAATTTTTTGGAGGGATCAGACTTGCATCACGCCCGCACTGGTGGGGGTAGGAAGCGCAGCTAGGCGGGCACGGCTGTTGCCGGCAGGGCCAAAGTCCCCTACCTCCTCCTCGGCGTGTTTGTTCCCTGGACCAAAGCCTCCTAACTACTTTTCTTCACTCCCTAGATCCACCACTCGCCTCCCACACAGGGTGGAGCGCCCCGAAGTACTTGCATAAGACAGCACAATCCCAATTTATAGGTTGTAGGAGCGCCAGTGCTGTCGGTTTTTTTCCCCAAGATATTTATGGGGGTCATTAATTATTTAACAAATCTAATAAAATTGAAGGGCTCCTTCTCCCAGAAAAAGATCGTACACACCAAAAATTCTGCATAGCATCTCAAGGTGTTTATAGACTCCCTGAACCTTCAAATTAAGTCCGCACCAGTGAGGGGCGCGGACCGGCGGAGTAGAAAAAGAAAGGGGTGAAATCTTGAAGTGAGTTAGTTAACATTGATAGATATGTACAATATTTAATATACATAGGTACCTATATGACAAAGCTGAGTAATAGGTTATGGAAAAGAGTGCTTTCCACAAGCAAGTCGGTCATACCGAAGACGGCGAGCAACAGGTGGGCAGAACACGGGGTCCCGCACTCCCAGCACGCGGGGTGAGGGCGGGATAGGAGGAGGTGACCGGGTGTGGGGCAGGGGGCGGCGCCGGGGAGCGGCGGGCTCCACTCACCGTTGCCCACGGAGCTGCGGCCCTTCCGGGCGAGGGTCTGCTGCACCTGCTCCTGGATCCGCAGGCTCTTGACTGTCTGGCCGCCGCGGCCGCTGCTCCCCGCCAGCTTCAGCTTGGCCTCGGAGGGCAGCGCCAGGCTGGAGCTGTCCAGTTGTCCCAGGATCTGCTGGCCCAGGACGGTCCGGATGTAGCCGTACTCAGCTGGGGCGCCGGGGGCTGCCATGGGGCCGGTGGGGGCGACCGAGCTGCTCGCCTGCCTCTGGACTCGCGGGCGAAGCCGCCACGGAGCTGGGGGCGCTGGCGCGAGCCCCGCCCCGCTCGAGTCCGGCCCCGCCCCTGGCCCGCCCCCCGCGCCGGTGAGAGGCCCGGGCCGGGGGGGAGCTCGGCCTCGTGGGCCGGACGCCCGGCCTTCCCTGAGGAGGGGGCGCGGCTCCGGCCGGGCACGCGCAGTCGGGCCCGGGGGCGGGGGCGGGGGCGGGCCGGACCCGCTGAGCGCGCGGACACCTGGAGACTTGTACCCGCCCGCGGGGAGGTGGGGAGAGGGGCGCGGTTCGCCTGGGGTCGCGCACGTTGTCGGAGTCCCAGCGGATACCGCCTGCCGGGGCCGCGCCCCGCTCTGCCCACGCCCCGCGCTGGACAGGATGGATTTCCGCTCGATGCAGGGAGGGGCTGCCCTGCAGGCAGGTGAGCCCTCGAGAGTCACTCCTGTTCTTGGACTGAGGCTTGCCTCCGGGATCCCCGAGCGAGTAGTATGTCTGGTTAGTCAGGCTTTGTCGCACTGTTGGAAACGTTTCCTGGTTTTCCTGGACCTGAGGGTGAGAAAGGGCTATTTGGTCAGGCGGAAAGGGCAATATGAGGGAAATGTGCCAAGAAGATAACGTGTGAAATAAAAGACTTTCTAAAGAGAGTGTTTTTTTTCTTAGTACAACGTCAGGACTATGTACTTTTTGCACAGATGCAGTCCCAGAAACATATGTTCTTCCTCATTGAGAGCTTCTGTTTTCTCTTGGATACACAAATTGTACCCAGTACTCTTGCTAACCCATTCCTCTCTTACGAACACACCCACACAGAGAAACTCCAACAAGAGGCTCTAGAGAAGAAATGAATTTTAATAGACGATGCTTTTTAAATAGCCCTGCTAACGTTGATTAAGTCCTCTTTATTACAGGCTCTTTGTAGAGAGATCCACGGAGAGGGCCTCCAACTTTCAATCGAATCTTCCACAACTTGTATTTATCGTGCTATTAATTATGTTTCACCGCAGTTGACTACTGAGAACTTGAGAGCTAAGCTCAACAGAAAGGATCCTTGACCTTAAAGTTTACAACCAAAGCCACTTGTCCTGATTTGCCTCTTTGGACTTAAGAGGCAGAAAGAAAAACATGTATCCCTGGTATTAAGATAATATTCCCTTTGATTGCTTGGGTTTGTATGTTCACTTTCCCTCAAATCACTCAATTGCTGCAAAACCCCACTTACTCAAGTCTGAAGTGTTTGGAGAACGCAGCTTCCCTCGTCTTTGTTTTCCTACCCACACCCTTCTGCCTTTAGACACACACTGAATGCTTAGACACACAATGCACAGGTATATGGCCTCCCTTTTTACATGAGCGTCCAGGGAGTGAAGAGGAAACCAAAGGACTGAAAGCGTGGACAACAGAGTAGTGACAGTTCCGCCACCCTTTGTCAGCAGGCCACATGGCTAAGTGGGAGCCATATGGATGTGAGTCCTGGAAGCAATTGCTCCCACCCCAATAGAATGGACCACTATTTAGGCAAATTACACCTTGTGTAAAGCTTGCTTATGTAGCCAGGTGGAAACATCCAACCATGATGCTGAGATGTAATTGAAAAGAGAGGGGTGAACTGAAGGTAAGTGATGATAGAAACGTCCAGCAACATTCCTGTTTCTCTCTCTCTCTCTCTCTCTCTCTTTTCATGGCCTCTTCTGGCAGACCAGAATCTGCTGCTTTGAGAGACAATTTCAGTATCTGTCCATACAGGGTCAGTTGGGGCATTCCTTGTTATTTTGTACCTGAAGAGCCATGACTTAAAATGTCAGCTCTGCCTCCAATTAGATTCCTCACCAGGAGACTAGAGAGGAATTTTTCTCATTTATTTTAATGAGCCAAACCTCAGATACTTTTTTCCTCTCAAATTAATTTTTTTAAAGTGTGTTGTTGGAATTGATTATCCTGTTGGGTAGGTACCAATAATTGGGCACATAGAAATCTTGTTGTTGGATTGTTAGGTGATTTGAGGGGAGGGAAGGTGATTAAAAGCACAGCTTGTGAGTGAGGAAAATCTAGGTTTTAACCTTAGCTTACCCCTTGTAAGTATATGGCCACAAGCAAGTTTTTTTAGATTTTTATAACTCTGTACATTCTCTTATCTATAAATGGGAGCAATAAAAGTATCTACTACATAGTTGTATTAGTCTGTTTGTACGCTGCTGTGAAGAACTACATGAGACTGGGTAATTTATAAAGAGGTTTAATTGACTCACAGTTCCTCAAGGCTGGGGAGGCCTCAGGAAACTTAGAATCATGGCAAGAAGGCACCTTCTCACAGGGTGGCAGGAGAGAGAATGAAAGCTGAGCAAAGGGGCAGAAGTCCCTTATAAAACCATCCACCCCATGAGTCAATTACCTCCCACTGGGTCCCTCCCATGACACAAGGGGATTACGGGAACTACAATTCAAGATGAGATTTGGGTGCGGATACAGTCAAACCATATCAATAGTGTTGTTATAAAAGTTAAACAATAAGTAGTACATTAGATATGTTCAGCGTCCCCAGAGATCCACTTCCTTTTCTTTTCTTTTCTTTTTGCGATGGGGCCTCGCTCTGTTGCCCAGGTGGGAGTGCAGTGGTGTGATCTCAGCTCACTGCAGCCTCTGCCTCCTGGGTTCAAGTGATTCTCCTGCCTCAGCCTCCCAAGTAGCTGGGACTACAGGCATGCACCACCACACTGGGTAATTTTTGTATTTTAAGACTAGGTTTTGCCATGTTGGCCAGGCTGGTCTTGAACTCCTGACCTCAGGTGATCCACCCACCTCAGCCTCCCAAAGTGCTGGGATTACAGGCGTGAGCCACTGCACCCAGCCCAGACATCCACTTCCTTTTTTTTTTTTTAAAATTTTTTATTTCCGTAAGTTTTTGGGGAACAGTTGGTATTTGGTTACATAAGTAAGTTCTTTAGTGGTGCCAGAGATCCTCTTTTCTTTTTTTCTGTTTTATTTTACGTGTGTGTGTGTGTGTGTGTGTGTGTGTGTGTGAAAGGGTCTCAGGCCAGGTGTGGCGGCTCGCGTCTGTAATCCCAGCACTTTGGGAGGCTGAGGCAGGAGGATCACCTGAGGTCAGGAGTTGGAGACTAGCCTGGCCAACGTGGTGAAACCCCATCTCTGCTAAAAATACAAAAATTAGCCGGGCGTGGTGGCAGACACCTGTAATCCCAGCTACTTGGAAGGCTGAGTCAGGAGAATCGCTTCAACCCAGGAGGCAGAGGTTGCAGTGAGCCAAGATGTCACCATTACACTCAGCCTAGACGACAAGAGTGAAACTCTGTCTCCAAAAAAAAAAAAAAAAGGTCTTGCTGTCACCCAGGCCGGAGTGCAGTAGTGCAATCTCTGCTTACTCCAACTTGCATCTCCCAAGCAAGCCTCCCACCTCAGCACCCTCACCCCCATCGCCAAGTAGCTGAGACCACAGGCGAGTGCCACCACCCCCTGCTAATTTTTTGGTATTTTTTTTTGTAGAGACGGGGTTTTGCCATGTTGCCCAGGCTGAGATCCACTTTTAGACCACCTCACTTCTTTCAGGTCTCTGCTTTTTTGTCAACTTACTGGATGAGACCCTTTCACATACAGTCACTCTTTCCCTTCTCCACTTAATTCTTCTCCATAGCACTTACTTTAATCACACATGCTTTATGTTTTACTTATTTAATTGTTGATTGTTTCCTTGCTGGAATATAAACTCTGTGAAAGCAGGGATTTTGTTTTGCTTACTGCTGTTCTCCAGGACCTAGAATAGGTAGGCAATAGGAATACATGGAATGAATGAATCATGCGTAAAAGCTCTTAGTATCTTACATATAATAAGTGCTTAACAACTGTTAGTAATAATGATTTAGGCTTTCAATCATTATGTTGGTAACTCTTATCTTTTAAAAAGTCACTTAGGACTGGGTGTAGTGGCTCACACCTGCAGTCCCAGCACTTTGGGAGGCCAAGGCAGGAGGATGCTTGAGCCCAGGAGTTTGAGACCAGCCTGGACAACATAGGGAGACTCTGTCTCTACAAAAAAAAAAAAAAAAAAAAAAAAAAAAAATTAGCTGCTTGTGGTGGCAATGCACGCCTGAGGTCCCAGCTACTTGGGAGACTGAGGTGGGAGGATCACTTAAGCCTGAGAGGTTGAGGCTGCAGTGAGTCCTGATTGCTACTGTACTCTAGCCTGGGTGACAGAATGAGACCCTGTCTCAAAAAACCCACAAAACAACAACAAAAAGTCACATGGATGCCATTATATGCTAGGTAGTCTGCTAATTAGCTATGCAATCATCCTTATAAATAAAAAACAAACTAAACCAAGATAAGGTTTAAAATTTTTGAATACTCACAGAATGCAATGATTCAGTAGAACAATACCTTTGAAAATCAGAAAAACAACTTAAAAGGATGTTTTTGCCAGGCACGGTGGCTCACGCTTATAATCTCAGCACTTTGGGAGGCCGAGGCGGACAGATCACGAAGTCAGGAGTTCGAGACCAGCCTGGCCAATATGGCAAAACCCTGTCTCTACTAAAAATACAAAAATTAGCCGGGCATGCTGGCAGGCGCCTGTAATCCCAGCTACTCGGGAGGCTGAAGCAGGAGAATCACTTGAACCCAGGAGGCGGAGGTTGCATTGAGCCAAGATCACACCACTGCACTTCAGCCTGGGTGACAGAGCAAGACTCCGTCTCAAAAAAAGAAAAAAGAAAAAAGGATCTTTTTAGAGGTGAGAACCTCACCCACAGGGTGAGGATGTATGCAGACTCTAGTGTTGTGCTCCTAAATGTAGCCTAGATGTGCTTATATTCCAGCAGCGAGCAGGCCCTGTCATGTTCTTCTCATTTCTTGGGAAAGCTGCCTACCCAGCTTCCTAAACTGTGAGCAAACCCTGAGATAACAGTGAAAGGTAGCTTCTAGCTAACAAAGCGAAGCATGGAATAAAATGCTTCCTTTTATTGAATCCTTTTGCGGTGTTTGGCTGTTTTACGATTTGCCACCTTTTAGTATTTAGGTTCAGTTTTAAAAACTCTTCCATTTCTTTGGTTTTCATTTACCACCAGAATCTGTAAAAAGAAAAATAAAAAGGCAAAACCACAGGAATGTTGAACTGGAATGTAAATAATAGATAACCAAATTATGAGGCTACAGTTCCTTTTGCTTTGAACCTACAGTAAAGATTCAGAAATTCTTGAGTT
This sequence comes from Homo sapiens, assembly GCF_000001405.40. NCBI lineage: Eukaryota > Metazoa > Chordata > Mammalia > Primates > Hominidae > Homo > Homo sapiens. The sequence goes on from NC_000012.12 coordinate 32,901,982, forward strand.
TAAACCTTGCATTTTTATTTGCTTTATACACTATATAGCCTCAAGCAATAATCATTTATTGTTTTAAAATCTACAGTTAGGGCTTCCACAGAGTAATCTTTATTTTCTTTAACCATACATAAATTCCTATATGAGAAATTTTAATATGCAAAAAATTCAGGAAGTTACTAGAAGACTAAATATAGTATAAATGTTGGAGCAGAAAGAATATTTTAATGGAAAGAACATTAATGGCACCAAAGCTCTTTGATTTATATTTTAAAAATAATAAACTAACATTCTCATGAATGCTAACTTACGTGAAATATTTTCTGCTACTATCTCTAGGCTATTAATATATATTGCTTTTTAAAAACATATTTCCTAAATTAGTGTAAGGGACCTGGCAGGTAGAAAATTTAAAACAAACCTCAGAATTTAGTCCCTCTTTTAGCAAACAGATATGTTGCCAAGGCAATTGGTAGCAGTTTTATCATTAACCACATGTAATGAAACTGGATCAGGGCTAGAAAAGGAAGCTATTCACATGTAAGATGCTGAAAACCACTCTCTGATGGGGACTTTCAACAGCAATGGGGGTTAAGGTGTTTATATGTCATTCAGATGTTCATTTTGTCTGCAATTTTGGATATATTGTAGGCGTGTAGGTTTGAAACCTATTCTTTTTGAAAGACCCCAAATGTGGTGTAGGAGGTGGAAATCAGGTGGGCAACCCTGAGGGCTGGCAATGAAAAATTTGTTCATAGTCACGGAGGCTTCAAAACAGTCCCTTTAATCGTGACTCATGGGCATGCAGAAGCACAGTACATTAGTTAAAATGAATACCTTCTGGATGGATGACCACAGCTGCCCCATTAATGGTTGTCAGATCTTTCACCTGATGTTCAGAGATGCTGAAGGGTGAGCACAGCATGGACAAGTCCTACCATAGGTTCTTGGCTTTAATAGGGACCATGGTCAGAACTCCTTTGTCTCTACCATAGAACCCAGCACCGAGATAGCTAGCAGGTGCTCAAATGAATAGTGAATTGAGTGTACTATCTCACCTATAGGTATTTCAATTAATTAGTTTGCCTGTGGGCCCAGCTGCAGCTGAGCAGAAGGAAACATCCTGAAGGACATGGCCTGGCCTGAAACAATATGCCGAAGTGACTTGAGGGCCGGCTATGGGAACACAATGTTTAGTGATTTCTAAGCTTATGAAAATATCAGAGAAACTCAGTAGGATTGATTTTCATAACTCTGTAGAGAGTATAGCACCTCATTGTCATGCATTGTTTAAATAATACTGCACTATGTATATTTTTTGAATTGTTTGGATATTATCTGTATATATTGATGGATATAGGTATATAAATTCTCAAATAATTTGCATTTGTAATATGTCTCATTTTTTTCCATACACACTATTATTTCCTTGAAATTAAAAAACTGAAGTATTACATTTCATATAGAAAAGTAATACTAATAATCTGGATTGGATTCTAAAAGCCCCCCTGCCCCACACAGACACCCTTTTTTCTTTCACAAATTTGCAACATCATCATAACATGCTAGAGTGATAAAATATATTCTTGATGCCAGACAGAGCTGGATTAGATTTGTTGCTTTGCTATGTGACCTTAGGCAAGTCATTTATATTCACTGAGCTTCAAGCTTTTTGTTTATAATAGGGTATCATTAATAGTATTGGCGTCTTAGGATTGGCATCTTAGGATTGGCAGAACATTCACTTAGTTACTAAATATAAGGTACTTAGATCTCCTAGTTTATAATTAGTGTATCAGTTATCTATGGTTGCAAAAGAAAAACATAAACACATAAAACAAAAAACCTTCCCAACATTTAAGAGCTTAAAACAAAAATGATCTCTTTTTCATGATTTTGTGGTTGATCCAGTTCTGCAGGCCTGGGCTTTTTTCACTTTTGTGGCTAAGGCCAGCAGGTGACTTGGCTGGGGCTGGATAGTCTAAGACAGCCATACTCACACATCTGGGATTGCAACTGGTGTGACTGGAACAACTACGAGGACTGAGCCTCTCCTTCCATGTGACCTTTCATCCTCCAGTAGGCTAGTTTGGGCTTCTCCACATGGTGGTCTTGAGTAGGAGTAGTATTCTAAGACAGCAAGAGCAGACACAATCTAGATCTCTTTAAGTCTAGATTCCCAGCAAAATGTTATTTTGACAGATTTCCTTCCTTCCTTCTGTCCTTCCTCCCTCCCTTGCTCTCTCTTTCCCTCCCTCCCTTCTTTTCTTTTCTTTTTCTTTTCTTCCCTCCCTCCCTCCCGCCTTTCCTTCCTTCCTTCTGCCCTTCCTCCCTTCCCTCGCTCTCTCTTTCCCTCCCTCCCTTCTTTACTTTTTCTTTTTCTTTTCTTTTCTTTTCTTCCCTCCCTCCCTTCCTTCCTTCTCCCCTTCCTTCCTTCCTTCCTTCCTTCCTCTCTCTCTCTCCCTTCCTTCCTTCCTTCCTCTCTCTCTCTCCCTTCCTTCCTTCCTTCCTTCCTTCCTTCCTTCCTTCCTTCCTTCCTTCCTTCCTTTCTTTCTGTGGAGTCTTGCTCTGTCACCTAGGCTGGAATGCAATAGCATGATCTTGGCTCACTGCAACCTGTGCCCCCTGGGTTCAAGCGATTCTCCTGCCTCAGCCTCCCAAGTAGCTGGGATCATAGATGCCTGCCACCATGTCTGGTTAATTTTTGTATTTTTCGTAGAGACGGGGTTTCACCATGTTGGCCAGGCCGTTCTCAAACTCCTGACCTGAGGTGATCTGCCCGCCTTGGCCTGCCAAAGTGCTGGGATTAACAGGCATGAGCCACCACACCTGGCCTCATTTTGACCACACTCTACTGAATGAAGCATGTCACATGACCAGCTCAGATTCAAAGGGCAGGGAAAGAGACATCACCTTTTAAGGGAGAAAAGATAAAGTTGTATTACAAGGGGTATGCATGCAGGGATGGGAGGAGATATTGTGGCAGTCTTTGCAAACCATCTTAACACCTTAATGCTCAATAAATGGTAACTATTATTATTATTTTTTATTTTAGAGTTGGCATATCTCTCACAGGTTGTCAGGATTATTATTACTTTTTGATGGCTGGAAGAAATAAGTCAAAGGAAGGCAATCTTTATTTACTCATGATGAGATACGTTGTCTCTTACATAGCTCTCTGCCTGTGATATCAGTGGAGCTTAAGCTCTATTCACAGGAAACTTGGGTATCTAGGAATCATGACATGTTTCACTAGACGTGAAGCAGTCCCTGCTGTTCCTCTGCTGGTTCAGAAGTGAGTGGAGTTCCAATTTCTTCCCTGTCTTAGTAAGGTCACTGATGCTTGAACAGTCATCATCTTGTATTTTATTCAAAGTATACTCATTAATAATAGAAAATACTAAATGCACAATTGAACTTCAAAACTGATGAATAGTATGCTTTTATTGTGGTATCCCTACTTACAATGATAAGAGAAAAATACATGATACCTTTACAATAGTAAGAAGGAAAGTGTGCTATTCATTTGGAGAATAGCTGTTGTATTTCAGAATAACAGCAATTTATTTGTCCAATCCCATTATTTTACACTGCTTTCCCATTATTTTCTGTTCTGCAGTAGGATCCTAATTTAAAAGTTGTCCAAGTGAGGCTGAGAGGTAGGGATTCCCTTATTATTTCTTGAAGAAATATACCTGTGCATTAATTCTTTCCACTTCCTGGAATATGTTTTCCACAGATTTCCATGGGCTTCACTTGTTGTCATTCAGATTTGTTTAAATATCTCTTCCTCAGAAAGAATTTCCCTGGCCAACAGTCTGAAGAAGCCACCTCGTCACTCTCTGCAAAGTACTTAGCATGACTGATAATGTTCTCGTTTGCAGAGGTGTATGTGTTCATATGTATTATCTTTCCTAGTAGAATGTAAGATCTAAGCAAGCAGAAACTGTGTCTTGTTCACCAATTCTTCTGTAATTCTTAGAATCCATACATGGAGTAAGCTTACAAGATGTGTTAAATGAATAATAACAGAAAGATATTTTAATTTTAACGCTTCTCTCCTTTTTTTTTTTTAATTTTTTAGACAGAGTCTCACTCTGTCACCCAGGCTGGAGTGCAATGGCGCTATCTTGGCTCACTGCAACCTCCGCCTCCTGGGTTCAAGCGATTCTCCTGCTTTAGCTTCCCGAGTAGCTAGGATTACAGGCACCTGCCATCATGCCCAGATACTTTTTGAATTTTTGTAGAGAACGGGGTTTCAGTATGTTGGCCAGGCTGGTCTTGAACTCCTGACCTCAGGTAATCCACCCACCTCAGCCTCCCAAAGTGCTGGGATTAAAGATGTGAGCCACCACGCCTGGCCTGCTTCTTACTTTTTAAATAGAGTTTAAATTTGGGGACAAACCTTTTTGTATTTTTCTGAAAGATGGTTTATAATGAACATGAGATTCTGAGACATTTATATGATTTCATTATTATTATTTTACTTAATGCTGTGAATAACAGTGTTAAGTGAAGGTAAGTTTAAGCAATCACCTGTGTCCCCAATCTGTTTTGATTCTGGAACCTGAAACCCAGAGCTTAGTGCTGAGTTCTGGCAAATCTCCCAGAACCACCGCCCTTTAGTTAGGGCTTCTGTGTCAATTCTCTAAAGGGCAAAGGCCTTTTGGGAAACTGGATTTTATGGTTTCAGGGATAGGTCTAAACAATACATACTTCTGAATCCCCAAGGTCATTTGTTTTATCTTTATAGGCCAAGATTTCCTGCAGCAACTGAAATTCTCCAATATTTTCACTGGATTGAACTAAGTTAGTTCAAATTTAAAACCTATTCAGTAATACTCTTTTTAAGCTTGAAGTGTTCTTGCTTAGGTAGCAGGAAACTTTTTGAAGGGATATTCTTGCTACAGAGCCAAAGTCAAATAGAAATCTCAGTGGTTACTTTGTGGTACAAAAGAGGATGTAAGAACATTCTTCTGCAGTTGTGACTGTGGCAACAGCTTCTGTGAAAATCGTCCAAATAAGTCCGGGTGCGGTGGCTCACACCTGTAATCCCAGCACTTTTGGAGGCCGAGGCGGGTGGATCACATGAGGTTGGGAGTTCGAGACCAGCCTGGCCAACATGGAGAAACCCTGTCTCTACTAAAAATACAAAATTAGCTGGGCGTGGTGGCGCATGCCTGTAATCCCAGCTACTCAGGAGGCTGAGGCAGGAGAATTGCTTGAACCCGGGAGGTGAAGGTTGCAGTGAGCTGAGATCGAGCCATTGCACTCCAGCCTGGACAATAAGAGGGAAACTCTGTCTGAAAAAAAAAAAAAAAAAAAAGAAAATGGTTCAAATGATGTGCTAGCTATTTTGATTAACCTTGGGAATATTTCAATTTTGTTGACTTCAGCAGAAAAAAATGAACTTTTGAGTCATGAATAACAAGGCAATTATTGACTCCATAAACAAAATGTCAGGGATGTTATTGGAAAAGTACTAAGTGAGGAAGTTACCCCATTGAAGTCTCCATTGCTTAAGTGATCAAGACAGCATTAATTATCATGGCATTCCAAGACCTTCCTTCTGGGCCTCACTTTACCAAGCTGACTTTATCTCAATGTATGGAACTCTTCAGCATCAACATTCGAAAGCAGCCAGGCCAAAATTCTTATTATACCCTAAATTATTGGTGCTCATTTCCTTTTATTTTGGTGGCTACATAGTTTATTTCTGCCCATCTTTTAAGATCCAGTTCATGCTTCCTCTCCTTAGTAAGGCTGACTTCATCTGCCCTCATGGGTTCCTCCTGTCCCATTCCCTAGAATCTTTAGAGTCATGTTTTTGCTTCCTGATAATCAAAGGAGATGACATAACATTTTTAAAGAGCTCAGCCTAGTGTCCTGAAAAGATGCCCCTTTTTTGTTTGTTGGCATATATAACATACTGAAAACAAAAACTGGGGTATTAAAAATGAATAATACATGCACGAGGTATGAAGAAATACAGCATGATGGTTTAGAACATAGCCTCTGGAGTTACAGAAACCTGAATTATTTTCCTTACTCGGCCCCTTACTACTTGTTTAACTTTGGTCAGTTTGTTAGACTTCTCCAAGCCTTATTTTCCTACCTTGAAAAGGAGGGTAATACGTAGTACACATTTAATAGGGTAAACGTGACAAGTGAAATAACAGATATGAAAATTATTTACAAATCATAAAACAAGTGAAATAACATATATGAAAATTCTTTATAAATCATAAAAGGGCTGGGCGTGGTGTCTCACACCTATAATCCTAACACTTTGGAAGGCAGAGACAGGTGGATCGCCCAAGGTCAGGAGTTTGAGACCAGCCTGGCCAACATGGCGAAACCCTGTCTCTACTAAATATACGAAAATTAGGCCAGGCATGGTGGCTCACAGCTGTAATCCCAGCAGTTTGGAAGGCTGAGGCAGGTGGATCACCTGAGATCAAGAGTTCGAGACCAGCCTGGCCAACATCGTGAAACCCTGTCTCTACTAAAAATACAAAAATTAGCCGGGCGTGGTGGCGCAGGCCTGTAATTCCAGCTACTCAGGAGGCAGAGACAGGAGAATTGCTTGAACCCAGGAGGCAGAGGTTGCAGTGAGCCAAGTTCGTGCCACTACACTCCAGCCTGGGTGAGGGAGTGAGACTCTGTCTCAAAAACAAAAAAAATCATAAAGTACTATATTAATGTTAAATATTATCTTGTATATTTTAGAATTTTTATATATGTGGCATCAGAGTTAACAGATTTTTTTTCTTTTTTTTGAGACGGAGTTTCGCTCTTGTTGCCCAGGCTGGAGTCCAATGGCGCCATCTCAGTTCACTGCAACCTCCACGTCCTGGGTTCAAACAATTCTCCTGCATCAGCCTCTGGTAGCTGGGATTACAACAGTTTGTGCCACAATGCCTGACTACTTTTTTGTATTTTTAGTACAGACGGGGTTTCACCATGTTGGCCAGGCTGGTCTCAAACTCCTGACCTCAGGTGATCCACCCGTCTCGGCCTCCCAAAGTGCTGGGATTACAGGCGTGAGCCACCACGCCCAGCCTACAGATTGTCTTTAAGCCAGCAACATGCAAGACAATAGCTATGAACTTGGCATCCCAAGAGGAGAAGTCACATTCTTTCCCTGGAGGGGCTTTCGCTGCAGATAGGGGTACAAAATATGTCTCCTCATAAAGCAAAATATGTCAAAGGTGAAATAACAATAGTATGTCAAAAATTACTCAAGGCAAAAATAAAGGAGGTGGTAAAGGGTGTCACAAAATTGGAAAGATAAATAATATTTCTGAAGTCGCAGGAGTAAGAGATTGCTTTCAGATTGGTGTAATCGGAGGATTTGTAGAGGCTATGGTTGGGTGTTAAGTGAGCAGGGGCTTGAGGGTAGGTAGGATTTGATTAGGTGGCAAGTGGGTAGAGGGTAAGAGAGAGCAGAAGTGTGGAGGTGGAAAAGGGTAATAGTTGGAAGGTTAACAAGGAAACCAGTGTGACTAGAATAATTCAAGCTAGTGTTCCCAGACTCAGTTGAATATTAGAATCAAAGAGGAAACTTTAAAAAATTATACAGATTTCTGAGCTCCATTGCGGATGAAATAAATCAGAATCTCTGAAGGGTGGGGTCTGGAATCTGTAGCTTCAAAAAGCTTTCAAGGTGATTCTAAGGAATAGCCAATTTTGGAAATCACAGATAAAAAGGATTAGTAGTTTAGAAGCAATAAACTTAATTAAGGTTCAAACTCCAAAGGCCTTGAATGTTAAGACTGCGGATTGTATTTAACAACATTCTCAAACTTTGGTAATGTATGGATATTGTTTAAAGGGGGAAAAATGTCTCTGGGGACTCTATAAGAAAACCGCAGAATTCTGTGGAGAGTCACAGAAAGTTTTGGGGGACTGACCGTGCTCAGAGGTATGATTCTGAGATATCAGTCTATTTGTCATCTCTGGAATGGGCTGGAAGAAAAAGAAAGTGGAGATGGATTGACAAACTAAGAGACCACAGGTACAGTGTAGGAATTATGGGATCAAAAAGAGAATTCAGGGCTCTAGAGCCTGTGTTTCCTCAGCCAGATACAGAGGAGGGAATGGTAGCAAAAGCACTTGTTATATAGGGTGGATGTTTAGCACCATTCATAAGACCCCTGAAAAGTTTGGTTGTTTAGAAGGTAAAGACTGCTTCTTTGGCCAGGTGTGGGGGCTCACGCCTGTAATCCCACCACTTTGGGAGGCTGAGGCAGGTGGATCACCTGAGGTCAGGAGTTTGAGACCAGTCTGGCCAACATGACAAAATCCTGTCTCTATACTAAAAATACAAAAATTAGCTGGGTGTGGTGGAATGCATCTGTAATCCCAGCTACTCAGGAGGCTGAGGAGAATTGCTTGAACCCAGGAGGCGGAGGTTGCAGCAAGTGGAGATGGTGCCACTGCACTACAGCCTGGGCAAAAGAGCGAGACTGTCTTAAAAAAAAAAAAAAAAAGACTGCTTCTTTTAGGCTGGGCGTGGTGGCTCACACCTGTAATCTTACACTTTGGGAGTCAGGCAGATTGCTTGAGCCCAGGAGTTTGAGAGTAGTCTCAGCAACATGGCGAAACCACATCTCTAAAAAAAGTAGAAAAAAATTAGCTGGGCATGGTGGCGTTCCCCTATAGTCCCATCTGCTTGGGAGGCTGAGAAGAGAGGATCCCTTCAGCTGAGGGAGGATCGTTTCAGCCTCGGGGACATTGAAGCTTCAGTGAACCATGATAACACCATTGTACTGCAGCCTGGGTGACAGAGTGGGACCCAGTTTCAAAAAAAAAAAAAAGACTACATCTTTTCCCTTCTTAGTCTCAGTCTCCTATAGGTCTTAACACAAGCAACTCTTGTAATACAGACGAATTGTGGATCTATGTAATATATGTAAATTAACTGATAGAAGACAGCTTTTCAACTGATTTTCTTGGGAATTCCAAATTTCTAGTCCTGTTCTTAAAAAGATATTCCTGTATACATTTTTCTAGCTAGTCTATAAATTTAAATTAATGGTTTTAAAATCATGGTCCACAGACTTTTAGGGATTTCTGAGACCCTTTCAGAGAGTTCTGCAAAGTAAAACTATTTTCATAATAATACAGAGACTTTATCTACCTTTTTCCCTGTGTTGACATTTGCCCTGATGATAAAAAGCAATGGTGGGTAAAATTGCTAGCAATGAACTAGTAGTTATTGTATTCTTCATTGTCATATCCTTGCAGTAAAAAAGGAGATACCAGTTTTATTTAGAGTTGTCCTTGATGGAACCATAAAAATTATTAATTTTGTTAAACCTTGACCCTCAAGTACATACCTTTTAAAAATTCTAGGCCGGGCGTGGTGGCTCACACCTGTAATCCCAGCACTTTGGGAAGCCGAGGCAGGTGGATCACCTGAGGTCAGGAGTTCCAGACCAGCCTGGCCAATATGGTGAAACCCTGTCTCTACTGAACATACAAAAATTAGCCAGGCATGGTGGCGGGCACCTGTAGTTTCAGCTACTCAGGAGGCTGAGGCAGGAGAGTCGCTTGAACCCGGGAGGCAGAGATTACAGTGAGCCGAGATCGTGCCATTGCACTCCAGCCTGGGCAACAAGAGTGAAACTCCGTGTCAAAACTAAAAAATATTCTATATGATGAATTTAGAATTACACATGAATTACTTCTGCTGCACTTAGAAGTGTGAGGATTGTTTTGAGAAGCATTCGTGCAATGTTTGAGTTCTAAGTGAAACTAGCACCTTTGTTCATTTGATATCAATTTTTACTTGTAAGAATGACTGACACAATACAGTTATTCAGGCTTGGGTAACTGGCAGGTATTTTCTTGAAAATTAGTGAATTAAGCATGTCAATTCAAGGATATCAACTACAAATATTTGTTACAAATTGCAAGATTCAAGGTTTTAGGTAAAAAATTAGAATTTTGGAAAACATGTGTCTTAGTCCATTTTGTGTTGCTATAAAAGAATACCTGAAACTAGGCAATCCATGAAGAAAAGAGGTTTATCTAGCTCATGGTTCTGCAAGCTGAGAACTCCAAAGGCATGGCCCTGGCTTCTGGTAAGGGCTTTCACGTTGGATCACAACATGGTGAAGAAGGTCAAAAGGTAAGCAGACCTGTATAAAGAGGGGAAAATCTGATTGTTGTCCTGTTTTTTTTTTTTTGAGACGGAGTCTTGCTCTGTCACCCAGGCTGGAGTGCAGTGGCACGATCTCGGCTCAATGCAAACTCCGCCTTCTGGGTTCATGCCATTCTCCTGCCTCAGCCTCACGAGTAGCTGGAACTACAGGCACCTGCCACCACGCCCAGCTAATTTTTTGCATTATTTAGTAGAGACGGGTTTTCACTGTGTTAGCCAGGATGGTCTCGATCTCCTGACCTTGTGATCTGCCCACCTTGGCCTCCCAAAGTGCTGGGATTACAGGCGTGAGACACCACACCCGCCCTGTCCTAGTTTTATAATAACACTTTCTCACAAGAATTACTACATTCCCAAGAGGACTAATCCAGTCTCTTAAGAGTGAGAACCTACTCACTACTGGGAAAACAGTCCAAGCCATTCATGAAGTATCTGTTCCCATATCCCAAATACCTCCCAGTATGCCCTGCCTCCCAGCGCTGCCACATTGGGAATCAAGTTTTAACATGAGTTTTGGTGGGGACAGGCAAACAACATCCAAACCATAGCAACATGTATCTATCACCACTGTGACCTGGAATGCTCAGCTTCCCATATTTTTCTTTTTTTTTTTTTTTTCTTTTTTGAGACAGAGTTTTGCTCTTGTTGATCAGGCTGGAGTGCAATGGCGCGATCTTGGCTCACTGCAACCTCTGCCTCCCGGGTTCAAGCAATTCTCTTGCCTCAGCCTCCTGAGTAGCTAGGATTACAGGCATGTGCCACCACGCCCAGCTAATTGTGTATTTTTAGTAGAGACGGGGTTTCTCCATGTTGGCCAGGCTGGTCTTGAACTCCCAACCTCAGGTGATCTGCCCGCCTTGGCCTCCCAAAGTGCTGAGATTACAGGCATGAGCCACCATACCCAGCCAGCTTCCCATATTTTTCTAATGAGATTAATGGTTGTATTAACAAATATGATTTTTTTGCCATTGTATAATATATGTATCAACATGTGGAGGAGACACATAACTCAAGGTAACAACATCTATAATGTTATGATCATGCATGATTGAAAGATCTATTCAAAGTGCAAAGTAGACAGATAGATTTTAATGTAATTGATTAAGAAAACTTAATATAGTTTCAGATTCCACATTACAAGCAACCTTTTTTTTATTCTTTAGATAGAGCTCACGCTGTTGCCCAAGCTAGACTGCAGCAGTGTGATCTCGGCTCACTGCAACCTCCACCGCTTGGGTTCAAGGAATTCTCCTGCCTCAGCCTTCCGAGTAGCTGGGATTATAGGTGTGTGCCACCACACCTGGCCAACTTTTGTATTTTTTGTAGAGATAGGGTTTTACCATGTTGGCCAGGCTGGTCTTAACTCTCGACCTCAAGTGATCTGCCCTCTTTGACCTCGCAGCTTACTGGGATTACATGTGTGAGCCACTGTGCCCTGCCACAACCAGCCTTTAAGATTCTTCTATCTGTTGAGTTTTCATGTAACATTAAAGCAAATGCCCACATTATCTGAAAAGGCTATAAAGCTACTTCTCCCTTTTCCAACTACCTCTTATACTATTGCATTGAGGATTAGGTTTCAACCTATGAATTTTGAGGGGATGCAAACATTCAGACTATAGCAGGTATATGCCGAAAAGAACTGAAAAATGATAGTCAAACAAATACATAAGCACGTCTTTTTTTTTTTTTTTTTTGAGACAGGGTCTCACTCTGTTGCCCATGCTGGAGTGCAGTGGCATGATCATGGCTCACTGCAGCCTTGACCTGTCAGGCTCAGGTGACTCTCTCACCTCAGCCTCTTGGGTAACTGGGATCACAGGTGTGTGCTACCAAGCCTGGCTAATTTTTTTGTATTTTTTGTATAGATGGGGTTTTGCCATGTTACCCAGGCTGGTCTCAAACTCCTGAGCTCAAGTGATCCACCCACCTTGGCCTCCCAAAGTGTTGGGATTATAGGTATAAGCCACCACGCCCGGCCCTCACATGTCACAGCAACACTATTTACAATAGCCAAAAGGTGGAGACCCAAATATCTATCAACAGATGAATGGATAAACAAATTGTGATATATACATACATTAGAATATTATTCAGCCATAAAAAGAAATGAAGTACTGATATATGCTATAACATGGATGAACCTTGAAAACATTGTGCTAAGTAGATGAACCAGACACAGAAGTTAGGAGATATGGTTTGGCTGTGTCCCCAGCCAAATCTCATCTTGAATTGTACTCCCATAATTCCCACGTGTTATGGGAGGGAATCGGTGGGAGATAATTTGAATCATAGGGATGGTTTCCCCCATACTGTTCTTGTGGTAGTGAATAAGTCTCATGAGATCTGATGGTTTTATCAGGGGTTTCTGCTTTTGCATCTTCCTTATTTTCTCTTGTTGCCATGATGTGAGAAGTGCCTTTTGCCTCCTGCCATGATTCTGAGGCCTCTCCAGCCATGTGGAATTGTAAGTCCAATTAAACCTCTTCTCTTTCTCTTCCCAGTCTTGGATATATCTTTATTAGCAGCGTGAAAATGTACTAATATGGTAAATTGATACCAGTAGAGTGGGGCATTGCTGAAAATATACCCGAAATTATGCAAGTGACTTTGAAACTGGGTCACAGGCAGAGGTTGGAACAGTTTGGAGGGCTCAGAAGAAGATAGGAAAATGTGGGAAAGTTTGGAACTTCCCAGAGACTTTCCCAGAGACTTGTTGAATGGCTTTCACCAAAAGTCTGATAGCGATATGGACAATAAGGTCCAGGCTGAGGTGGTCCCTGAAGGAGATGAGGAACTTGTTGGGAACTGGAGCAAAGGTGACTCTTATATGTTTTAGCAAAGAGACTGGTGGCATTTTGCCCCTGCCCTAGGGATTTGTGGAACTTTGAACTTGAGAGAGATGATTTAGGGTATCTGGTGGAAGAAATTTCTAAGCAGCAACGCATTCAAGAGGTGACTTGGGTGCTGTTAAAGACATTCAGTTTTATAACGGAAGTGGAGCATAAAAGTTCAAAAAATTTGCAGCCTGACAATGTGATAGAAAAGAAAAACCCATTTTCTGAGGAGAAATTCAAGCCACCTGCAGAAATTTGCATAAGCAACGAGATGCTGAATGTTAATCACCAAGGCAATGGAGAAAATGTCTCCAGGGCATGTCAGAGGTCTTCACGGCAGCTCCTCCCATCACAGGCCTGGAGGCCTAGGAGAAAATGGTTTCATGGGCTGGGCCCATGAAACTTAGGCTGTTTGCAGCCTAAGGACTTGGTGCCCTTTGTCCAAGCTGCTCCAGCCATGGCTGAAAGGGACCAACGTAGAGCTTGGGCTGTGGCTTTAGAGGGTGCAAGCCCCAAGCCTTGGCAGCTTCCACATGATGTTGAGTCTGTGAGTGCACAGAAGTCAAGAATTGGGGTTTGGGAACCTCTGCCTAGATTTCAGAAGATGTATGGAAATGCCTGGATGCTCAGGCAAAAGTTTGCTGCAGGGGCAGGGCACTCATGGAGAACCTCTGCTATGGCAGCGCAGAAGGGAAATGTGGGGTCAGAGCCCCCACAGAGAGTCCCTACTGAGGTACCACTTAGTGGAGCTATGAGAAGAGGGCCACCATCCTCCAGACCTCAGAATGGTAGATACACTGACAGCTCGCACCATTCACCTGGAAAAGCCACAGACACTCAATGTTAGCCCTTGAAATTAGCTGGGAGGCTGTACCCTGCAAAGCCATAGAGGCGGAGCTGCCCAAGACCACGGGAACCCACCTCTTTCATCAGTGTGACCTGGATGTGAGACTTGGAGTCAAAGGAGATCATTTTGGAGCTTTAAAATTTGACTGCCCCACTGGATTTTGGACTTGCATGGGCCCTGCAACCACTTTGTTTTGGCCAATTTCTCCCATTTGGAACAGCTGTATTTACCCAATATCTGTACCCCTACTGTATCTAGGAAGTAACTAGCTTGCTTTTGATTTTACAGACTCACAGGGGGAAGGAACTTGGCTTGTCTTAGGTGAGACTTTGGACTGTGGACATTTGGGTTAATGCTGAAATGAGTTAAGGCTTTGGGGGACTGTTGGGAAGGCATGATTGGTTTTGAAATGTGAGGACATGAGATTTGGAGGGGCCGGGGTGGAATGATATGATTTGGCTCTGTGTCCCCACCCAAATCTCATCTTGAATTGTACTCCCATAATTCCCACGTGTTGTGGGAGGGACCTGGTGGGAGATAATTGAATCCTGGGGGTGGTTTCCCTCATATTGTTCTTGTGGTAGTAAGAATAAGTCTCACGAGACCTGATGGTTTTATCAGGGGTTTCTGTTTTTATATCTTCCTCATTTTCTCTTGCTGCCTCCATGTAAGAAGTGCCTTTCACCTCCAGCCATGATTGTGAGGCCTCCCCAGCCATGTGGAACTGTCCAGTGAAACCTCTTTTTCTTCCCAGTCTCGGGTATGTCTTTATCAGTAGTGTGAAAATGGACTAATACAGTCATATATTGTATGATTCCATTTATATGAAACATCTGGAATAGGTAAACCCATAGAGACAGAAAGCAGATTGGTGGTTGCCAGGGGCTGGAGGGGAAGGGAATGGGGAGTGACTGTTCAATGGGTATAGGGTTTCCTTTTGGGGTGATAAAAAACAGTTAGGAACTAGTTAGATGTGGTGGTTGTACAACACTGTGAGTGTAATTATGCCATTGAATTAAGACTGTTAATTTTATGTTATATAAATGTCACCTCAATTAAAAAAAAATCACAGCTGGATGATCACCAGATATAGGCCCTAGCACTCGGCAGGGATTCAGAATTTCTTTTTCGGTTTTACTCAAGTAAGCAAAATGAACAATATCTGTTTTCTTTCTGTTGGCAGTGTTTCGAGTATCTGGTGCTAGTATAATCATTATTTTGGCTATTATCAGACTTAGCAATGCAATTTTTGCTTTGATATTCTTCCCAGTTGTTGTGTCAGGAAGAAGGCAGAATTAGGCAGTGTGCTAAAATCAAATCAGTATTTCTTACATAAATGATTGGTTGGGTGAGTCTGTTTTTAGTCACCCATCTCCTTTGAAGTCTGAAAGCAGGCAAGAAATTTGAGATTGTTGACATTTCCTACAGAAGAGCTAAAATGTACTGTTATTGAAAGACTACAAGATTTATCAAACAAAAATACATCAACTTCAACACCTTCAATTTATTATCCAAAGGTGGGGGTCACTTATTGGGTTCTTTGTCCAATGTACAGGTTGTTCTGTCCCTCACTCCCAGCAAAATATTGTGAAATATCTTAAGTTTATTGGATTATTAAAGGGCAGTTGGCTTACAGTTCTGTGGTTTGCCCCTGGCTTTTCTTCCCTAGCAACCAAAAACAATACTACTCATCAAGAAGATTGCATCTTATGTCATTACATAGAGCTTTTTTTTTTTTTTTTTTTTTTTTTTTTGGAAACAGGGTATCACTCTATTGCCCAGACTGGAGTAGTGGCGTGGCATGATCTCAGCTCACTGCAACTTCGGCTTCTAGGGTTCAAGCAATTCTTGTGCCTCAGGCTCCCAAGTAGCTGGGACTACAGGTGCACACCACCATGCCCAGCAAATTTTTGTATTTTTTGGTAGAGATGGGGTTTCACCATGTTGGCCAGGCTGGTCTTGAACTCCTGACCTCAAGTGATCACCCACTCGGCCTCCTAAAATGCTGGGATTACAGGTGTGACCCACTGCACCCGGCCATTATATAGAGCTTTTTATATTTAACTTTTAGTCTAATTTTCCTTGAAGTCTGCACACTGGACAATTAATTGGTCAGCAGCAAGGTGATAGTTCTAGTGAGACAAAGCAGCATCTAGAGGAGAGAGTGAAAACCAGACAAGGTATTTGCATTAGTATTTCAGACTTTAAGACTGAGTTAATTAAGGGTGGAGTGGCATTATTTTGGCTTAAATTTCTTCATCTGTAAAGGTGTGTTAATGGTACTATCCACATAGAGTTTTGTGAAAAAATATGTGTATGTGAAATGTTTTATATAGAATCAGGCATATAATTGGCCAACAAAGGATGTTTTTTGTTTTTTAATGAGGAATAATGCTGCTGATGAGCAACTAAGATAGTGCTCATCATAGAAGAGAGAATCAAATAACAAAGGGATGTGAGGCCAGCTCAGTTTTCCTTCAGTTAGAAAATAGACATGTAAGTAAAGCATAATATATAATTATTGTTATGAAGCGAGTATACACTATATAATAATTAAGGAAGAGAAAAATAAAGAGGTGACATGAAGAAAAGAAGGTGAAAGAAAGAAGGGATGAGTGAAGGATAGTGTACATCCAAAACTTCATTTTGAGTGACATGTGAGGATGTGAAAATATAAAATTGTTGGGTTTTATAGAATCAGAGAGGTCAGCTTTCATTCTCTAATATTATAAATTAAGAGAGATGTAGGGCAAAGTAGAACAGAGATTTCTCAACCTCACTAATATTCAGAATCACTTTGAGAAACTTATAAAAATATAAATGCCTGTACCCCACCCCAGTGACTCTGATTCTTAGTTCCAGGGTGGAATCCAGTGATCTGTGTGTTTAAAAAGATCCTTAGATGAATTTTGATGCAAATCTACATTTGAGAATGGCAGAAATGGGCCCTAAATGTTTGCCTGTGTCCAGTAGTATCTGTTCAGCCCCTTCTTGTAATTCTCCTCTCTCTACAGAGCAAGAAAAAGAAACATGATGGAATAACCCAATTTAAAATTGAAGCCGGGTGTGGTGGCTCATGCCTGTAATCCCAGCATTTTGGGAGGCCGAGGCCGGAGGATCACCTGAGGTCAGGAGTTCTAGACCAGCCTGACCAACATGGCAAAACCCTGTCTCCACTAAAAATACAAAAATCAGCCGGGCGTGGTGGCGGTTGCCTGTAATCCCAGCTGCTCAGGAGGCTGAGGCAGGACCCAGGAGGCAGAGGTTGCAGTGAGCTGAGATTGCGCCCCTGCACTCCAGCCTGGGTGATAGAGCAAGACTCAGTCAAAATAAAATAAATAAATAAAATAAAAGAAAATAAAATAAAAGATTACCTTTTAAAAAATCCATGAAAATATATAACATTATTCCCCTTGTTTTTCTTTTCCTGCGACTGATTTAGGAGGGCACCGGCTTCTTTTCTCCTCTGAAGTGGGGGCTGAGCTACAGCAGTGACACCAAGTGGTGGTTTTAGGGGATTCTCCTTTTCATTTGAAACTTTGTGATTTTTAAATGACTGAAATAAGATGTCGTTTGCCTTCTTTCTCTTTCCCATCAGTTAGAGCATGTATTCTTCAGTTCTTGCATACCTCATTCACCAGAAATGCTAAAAGAATGAAGAAAACAACAAACAGGATTTGACCCTGACATTTGATCTTTTTGAGTGCTTCCAATATAAACACCTTTGTTTAGTTGTTTCTAGGACCAGGTGGTTTCAGTGAATTCAAAGAGAGCCTAAACTAAACTCTACATGCTAAAACTATGATAATGATGATGAAACTGTCAGTGCATTTAAAGTTATATGACTCATAAAAAGAGAGTACTGTGAACTTAAAAGTAAGAATGCTGCAGACTGATGCCAAGAAAACTCAATGAGTCTGTGATGAAGGTCGAGACTCCCTTCATAACCATCTGCGGTGAGCTAAAACTTAGGTATCCAAAGAATAACAATGCTTAAGATGTCTTGCTTAGGAAAAAAAAAAGTAAAAGTAGGTTTGGAAAGTTCGTGTCTTAGTTTGGGCTGCTATAACAAATTACTATAGACTGGGTGGCTTATAAGGAAAAGCAATTTATTTCTCGCAGTTCTGGAGCTGGGAAGTCCAAAATCAAAGGACTGGTGTCTGGTGAGGGCCTGCTTCCTCACAGACAGGGCAGATAGGGCCATGAGTTATCTGTTGTCTCCTTTCTGTTAATTGTAATTTTTTGGTTTTTAATTATTTTTGAAAAAATAGAGATGGGGTCTCACTATGTTGGCCGGGTTGGTCTGGAACTTCTGATCTCAAGCAGTCCTCCTGCCTTAGCCTCCCAAAGTGCTAGGATTACAGGTGTGAGCCACCATGCCTGGCCTGGAGTCTCTTTTATGAGGGCACTAATCTCATTCATGGGGCCTCTTCCTTCATGACTCCAGCCCAGGCTGGAGTGTAATGATGTGATCTTGGCTCACAGCAAACTCCGCCTCCCGGGTTCAAATGATTCTCCTGCCTCGGCCTCCTGAGTAACTGGGATTACAGGTGCCTGCCACCACGCCCAGCTAATTTTTGTTTTTTTTGTAGAGACGGGGTTCACCATGTTGCCCAGGCTGGTCTTGAACTCCTGACTTCAGGTGATCCACCTGCCTCGGCCTCCTAAAGTGCTAGGATTATAGGCGTGAACCACCGTGCCAGGCCTACTTTCAGGATTTTTACCTTATAATAGCATTCATCAAAGATGTCTTTAAACGGCAATTTCACCAGTACATTTATACTATGACTAAGTTCATAAATATTTGATATACAAACTTTTAAGAAATACATTTGCTAAGTAACATGGACACACCCAAATTACAAACAAAAGAGAAGAGGAAGTTAGGCTATTAACGGACATGTAGACAAGAGAAGTATATGTAGTTATGCAGAGGAAGAACAATCAATTATAAAGAAAAGCGCACAGAGGAAATGGGATTACCGTTGGTTCCAGGGACCATCATTGTGTAGGTGGAACCAACAGATTTGGTTAAGGACACTCTGCTGAAGACAATGCAGCTAGATTAGCCACTAATCACAGGCTAGTGTGGGAACTACAGGACATATTCCTCAATGCCCGAGAAATGTTGGTTGCTTTTCCTCCTCGTGTTTCTCAAATGTCATTTTACTTACCTTTTATTCATTATATCTGTCCTATGCTTCTACAATCTGAACATAAAATGAAATGTTTTATTTTATTTTATTTTTGAGACAGAGTTTCATTCTTGACGCCCAAGCTGGAGTGCAGTGGTGCAATCTCGACTCACTGCAACCACCGCCTCCCGGGTTCAAGTGATGCTCCTGCCTCAGCCTCCCAAGTAGCTGGGATTACAAGCATGTGCCACCACACCCGGCTAATTTTTAAAAATATTTTTGTAAAAACAGGGTTTTACCATGTTGGCCAGGCTGGTCTCAAACTCCTGACTTCAGGTGATCCACCTGCCTGGGCCTTCCAAAGTTCTGGGATTACAGGCATGAGCCACTGCGCGTGGCCCTTCATTTTAAATCGTAGCTTTTACCACCTTCTATATGGGGGAAATAACTAGTCCTCAGTTTATTTCCTTAATGCTTACTAATTTTATGTCACCATTGGTTGGCAGATACATTTTAGAAAACTGTGAAGAGAAAAATTTGTATAGACACTAAAAACAGCAGTCAGCTGATCTGGTGGGCCGTGGACTTGCTGCTGTAGACAATGGAATGATCAGAAATAATAAACAGGGCGAGAACTTTATCTATTTTTGAGCTGAATGTTCTAACATTTATGAATGACTAAGTGATGAGGCATCAATCTAAAATGCCTCTGCATTTCACATTAGTATGTGAAAAACTGGTAGGGATTAATGAATATTTTTCTTTAGCTTCTGAGTAAGAAACAGTTCCAAAATGAGGAAAGAATACCTGGCTTTGCCTTAAACTGAGTGTTCCTAACTCTGAAACTCTGGGAACTTTATAAATCCCTAAGACATTGTTTAAAAGCCCCAAATAAGAGGACTGAGTTTTCACTTTTACCCAATTAGATGCTAAAGTGGATTGAACAAAATGACATATTCTTGGATTATAGACTGGAGCATAAAAATTTATATCATAGCCAGTAATGACTGTCCTTTTGCCAAGCCATTGTACTCCTACCCCCTCTACCCCCATGACCCACGAGTGTTTCTTAAGCACCCACTAAACATGAGAGAAAGCAGCAAGGGTAGACTGGGAGCACATTGTGGACGGCTTGATATTTTCTTCAGCAATAAACGGAAGTTGTCAAGAAAACAAAAGACACCATCAGGCCTGTGCTTTGGGAAGACGTAACTGGCAGTGGTGTGTAAGACATACTGCTGGAGGATGAGGCCGAAGGTAGGGAGACTGGGAAATGCCATGGCTGATAAAATGGAAAGGAGGGTAGAAATTGCGAAGTGTGGCTTCTGTGAACTACTGCTGTCTTTTATTGTTTTAATTTAGAAAGAATGAATGCTCAAAAAATAGTTAGTTGAGGCTGGGTGTGGTGGCTCACGCCTGTAATTCCAGCACTTTGGGAGGCTGAAGCAGGCGGATCACCTGAGGTCAGGAGTTTGAGACCAGTCTGACCAACATGGTGAAACCCCATCTCTACTAAAAATACAAAAATTAGCTGGGCGTGGTGGCACGTGCCGGTAATTCCAGCTACTCAGGAGTCTGAGACAGGAGATCTCTTCAACCCAGCAGGTGGAGGTTGCAGTGAGCCGAGATCATGCCATTGCACTCCAGCCTGGGCAACAGAGTGAGACTCTGGCTCAAAAAAAAAAGTTAGTTGAATGCATACTGGTTATTTGTTGAGGGGAGGAAACAAAGATGATGGTGAAGTTTCAAGTCTTAACAGCTAGGCGTATTAGTCAGGGTTCTCTAGAGGGACTAATAGGATAGATGTATATATGAAAGGGAGTTTGTTAAGGAGTATTGACTCATACCATCACAAGGTGAAGTCCCGCAACAGGCCATCTGCAAGCTGAGGGATAAGGAAGCCAGCTGGAGTCCCAAAAACCTTAAAAATAGGGAAGCCAATAGTACAGCCTTTAGTTTGTGGCTGAAGGCTCAAGAGCCCCTGGCAAACCACTGGTGTAAGTCCAAGAGTCCAAAACCTGAAGAACGTGGAGTCCAATGTTCGAGGGCAGGAAGCATCCAGCAAGAGAGACTCAGCCAGTCCAGTCCTTCCAAGTTCCTCTGCCTGCTTTTATCCTAGCTGCACTGGCTGCTGATTAGACAGTGCCCACCCCGGTTGAGTGTGGGTCTGCCCTCCTAGTTTACTGACTCAAATGTTAATTTCCTTTGGCAACACCGTCACAGGAACAATACTTTGCATCCTTCAGTCCAATCAAGTTGGCAGTCAATATAAACCATCACACTGGGTTAAGCCCAAACTCGTTCTGTGTCCATCAACATTTGGTCCTTCTCTTGACTTTGCTAAAATTGTCTATGACTCATGCTTCCCTCAGTTTCTTAGGAAAACTCAGGCTCAAAATCTTGATGCAATGGTTCATTTCTTTTCTCCCTCTCTTGCCTTCTACAACAAGTTCCCAAGTTTTGTTCTCTTGATTGGGCAGTAGCAACGACTTCCTAATTGGTCAGGGCCAACACATAGTTTTATTTCACCTTTAACCTTTCTCACATACTACTGACACTTCAATTTTAATCTTAAAATCATAACTTTGAACAATTTTTTTTTTTTGAGACGGAGTCTCGCTCTGTCACCCAGGCTGGAGTGCAGTGGCACAATCTCTGCTCACTGCAACCTCCACCTCCTGGGATTCTCCTACCTGAGCCTCCCAAGTAGCTGGGACTACAGGCGCCCACCACCACGCCCAGCTAATTTTTTTTGTGTGTTTAGTAGAGACAGGATTTCACTGTGTTAGCCAGGATGGTCTCGATCTCCTGACCTCATGATCCACCCGCCTTGGCCTCCCAAAGTGCTGGGATTACAGGCGTGAGCCACTGTGCCTGGCCAACTTTGAACAATTTTAAAAAATTTTTATTTTAAGCTCAAGGGTACACGCGCAGGTTTGTTGTACAGATTATTTTGTCACCCAGGTATTAAGCCTAGTACCCATTAGTTGTTTTTCCAGATTTATCTACCTCCTCCCAACCTCCACCCTCCGTTAGGGCCTAATGTCTCTAACTACCATGCTGCGTTTTGATTAAAAGGTTACTGTCCACTGTATTTTATTTTTTTCAGGTGAGAAAGAAACATAAGAAGCAGTTGAGGGACCAGGAACCGGGTCCTCTAGGGATGAGGAGGCATTCTGTTGGATGGTTTTGCAAAATGTTTCCTCCAGAGTCATCTGCCTCATTAACAATGTTTTTTTCTTCAACTTTTATTTTAAGTTCAGGGATAAATGTGCAGGATATGCGGATTTGTTACACAGGTTAATGTGTGCCATGGTGGTGGCTGCACAGAGCATCCCATCACCTAGGTATTAAGCCCAGCATTCATTAGCTATTCTTCCTGATGCTTTCCCTCTGCCCTCACCAACAGGCCCCACTACGTGTTGTTCCCTGCTATGTGTCCACGTGTTCTCATTGTTCAGCTCCCACTTATATGTGAGAGCATGAGGTGTTTGGTTTTCTATCCCTGCAGTGGTTTGCTGAGGATAATGGCTTCCAGCTCCATTCATGTCCCTGCAAAAGACATGATTTCATTCCTTTTTATGGCTGTATAGTGTTCCACTGTGTATATGTACAACATTTCTTTATCCGGTCTTTCGTTGATGGGCATTTGGGTTGATTCCATGTTTTTGCTGTTGTGAATAGTGCTGCAATGAACATATTCACGCATATATCTTCGTAATAGAAAGATTTATATTCCTTTGGGTATATACCTAGTAATGGGATTGCTGGGTCAAATGGTATTTCTGCCTCTAGATCTTTGAGAAATCACCACACTGTTTTCCACGATGGTTGAACTAATTTACACTCCCACTAACAGTGTTTAAGTGTTCCTTTTTCTCTGCAACCTCACTAGCATCTGTTATTTTTTTGACTTTTTATTAATAGCCATTCTGACTTGTGTGAGATGGTATCTCATTGTGGTTTTGATTTGCATTTTTCTAATGATCAGTGATGTTGAGCTTTTTTTCAAATGCTTGTTTGCGACATGTATGTCTTTTGAAAAGTGTCTGTCTGGCTGGGTGTGGTGGCTCATGCCTGTAATCCCAGTACTTTGGGAGGCTGAGGTGGGCGGATCACCTGAGGTTGGGAGTTCGAGACCAGCCTGACCAACATGGTGAAACCCCGTCTCTACTAAAAATACAAAAATTAGCCAGGCATGGTGGTGCACGCCTATAATCCCAGCTACTCAGGAGGCTGAGGCAGGAGAATCGCTTGAACTCGGGAGGCAGAGGTTGCAGTGAGCTGAGATCACACCACTGCACTCCAGCCTGGGTGACAACGTGAAACTCTGTCTCAAAAAAAAAAAAAAAAGAAAGAAAATCACATTTCATTTAAGTCAAGGGGAGGAAGAAAATGTGGTTAAGAGTGCCAAATACTGTAGAGGCAAAGAAAAATGAAAAGTGACTAAAGGATTCTATATGTAACAATTAAAAGAGTCATTGGTGATTTTTTTTGAGACAGACATTTCATAAAATTATAAACCTTTGGGGCTGAAAGGTCCTACAGAGATCTAGCTCTCTTTCTCCTTCTAGGAGAAACTTCTAGGATTCTTTCAAGAATCCTAGAGATTCTTGGGTGTCAATTTTTCCACATTTAAAAAACTGGGAAATGTTTTCTTGGGAAAACTGACACCCAAGAATTTCAGGGGTTTGCCCAGTCTCTAGGAGCACTATCTAATACTCTGTATTTCTTTCAGTTCAGACTTGTGTCTTGTATTTGTCTATTTTTTTAATAAAGAATTTCTGAGCTAATCTGCTTCTTTTTTTTTTTTTTTTTTGAGATGGAGTCTCGCTCTGTTGCCGAGGCTAGAGTGCAGTGGTGTGATCTCGGCTCACTGCAACCTCCGCTTCCCGGGTTCAAGCGATTCTCCTGCTTCAGCCTCCGAGTAGCTGGGACCATAGGCACGCACCACCATGCCCAGCTAATTTTTGTATTTTTAGTAGAGATGGGGTTTCACCATATTGACCAGGCTGGTCTTGAACTCCTGACCTTGTGATCCACCTGCCTCGGCCTCCCAAAGTGCTGGGATTACAGGCATGAGCCACTGTGCCTGGCCTGCTAATCTGCTTTCCGAAGCACATCAATTTAGGGAATGTGAAAATCTAAGAGGCAGATTTTGATAAGAAAAACTGGCACTGAGGGATGAAAGAGAAAAACATTACCCATAGCATGGTTGTGGATATAACAAGTTCTATAATTTTAAAGTTCAAAATGTCTTTTAGTGTCTCCCATCATGCAGAGGCAGTTTCTTCTGTACATCTTATCACCGGAATGAGGTTCTATGTGTTGAGATAGATGAGCAGGGGGAGAAGAGATGGCTTGTAGAGTAGGTAATGTCCATGGATGTTTCCTTTTCTCTTTTATTTACTTTTTTATTTTTCTAGAGATGGGGTCTTGCTACGTTGCCCAAGCTGGTCTTGAACTCCTGGCCTCAAGTGATCCTCCCCTCTCAGCCTTCCAAAGTGCTGGGATTACAGATGTGAGCCACCACACCCAGCATGTTTCCTTTTCTATTCTAGTAGAATGAGGAGGGTAAAAGCTAAAATGCCCAGGGTGGAAGAGTGACTAAGAAGTGAGGAGTGAAGGAGTGTGGATTGACTATCTATTTATAAAACAAGTTTAGCAAAGAATGATGAGAGGTTTCTAGGAGTGGAAGATAATGCAATTAAAAAAAAAAAAAGGGTGAAAACACAACCTTTACATGACATTTCTTGTTCTAGTTCAGTCCTCATTCCTGGGCCCCTTTTAACTAATTTCCTTATTGTTTCCTTTCTTCTTCAGACTCCCTTTGAACATTTACTATCTCTATGAAGTCTTTCCCAACTATAATCATCATATTATATATTTCCGTGTATCCCATACATGACTTTTTAGAATTATGAATAATTATTATATAACTTTATATGTGCAGTTTAAAAAATTTAGTCTTTCGGAGATCAGTATGACTCATGTTTACTGTATCCAACCCTAATACCTCTTACTAGACACACATACACACCATCCCTGATCCCACACATGGGTACTGAAACATTGTTCTTATGTTTTGCCATCTTCTCAAGCCATCTTTAAGCCTTTCATCCATTTGAAACAGGACTGAGCACCCTGTGTGACAAAGTGATAGAAGTTAAGTGAGTCAGATATGACTGGCTGGTGTGGGCTGATTTCTGCTCCTGGAGTCTCAGATGGTTTTGCGGCAGATGCAAATGTTCATCTACCTAAAAAGGCGGCCTGTCTTCCCTCTTGCTAACTGAATCTTGCTTTTTTTGAGGTATTGGGCAGCAGTGGGCTCAAGGAAGTTAGACCTGCCCCATGGTGCAAGGGCTTAACCCCTAACCGATTAAAGCAATCACGTTAGCCTCATTCTTTGCCGGTGGGAAGGGGTGGGCTTGGTTCCGGTTATGGCAATGGAATACAAGGCAAGCCTCTGCAAAGTCTGTGAGAATCATTTTATTTCCTTGATAATAGAGAAAACATTGGGGTTGGGGGTACTTTCTGACTCTTCCTTTCCTTTTTGCTAAGTACATTAGTAGGAGGAAGTACTGCTCGGAGCTATGGCAGCCATCTTGTGACCTTGCAGTAAAAGCCAAGAGAATCTCAGTGACTCTGCCCTGGAGCGCTGACAACTTTGAGCCTCTAAACTGCTTGGGGCCACTTACCTGTAGACTTTTTGCTCACAAAGTTATATCTTTGTGGCTTAAGCCTCTATTCGTCAGACTTTTTTCTTTTTGTAACTTGTATCTGGAAGTATCCTAATGGAAGCCTTGTCTATGAGGGAAGGGGTAGCTAGATGCGGAAAAGGCGAGTTTCAAAGCTGAGTCAATTCAGAGAGGTTGTTTACTAAGGAAAGTTTGAAATAGTGCAGTGAGTGGAAGAAAATGAATTATTGTTGGGGGCTGAGAGTAAAGGGACACAGGCAATGTCGTCAAAGTCTAGCTCATGTCTGGCACACAGTAAATACTTATTATATCTTGAATAAGGGACAGTGCTGAGTCAAATTTAACATGTGTGGTAAGGGTCAGGAAAGTCGGAAGCTAGGAGAATAAAGTACAGGATGAAATTCATTTTAAGGAAAGAGGATGAGTAGCTTAGAAGTAAAGTTTATATGGACACTGGTATGACAGGATATTGAAGTAACCACACAGGGTTAGACAATCGAAGAATATCTCATCTTTTAGGGGAGCTAAAGCTTGCATGTAAGTATAATGCACTGAGAAGATAAATGAGAGGTATAGATAAAGGACTATAGAAATTTAGAGGTGGGGGCCGGGCGCGGTGGCTCACGCTTGTAATCCCAGCACTTTGGGAGGCCAAGGTGGGTGAATCACTTGAGGTCAGGAGTTGGAGAACAGCCTGACCAACATGGTGAAATCCCGTCTCTACTAAAAATACAAAAATTAGCCAGGCGTGGTGGCGTGCATCTGTAGTCCCAGCTACTCCAGAGGCTGAGACAGGAGAATCACTTGAACCCAGGTGGTGGAGGTTGCAGTGAGCTGAGATCGTGCCATTGCACTCCAGCTTGGGTGACAGAGCGAGACTCCATCTCAAAAAAAAAAAAAAAAAAAAAAAAGAAATTCACAGGTGGGAAGGATTTTTATTTGAGTGAATCAAGAAATCAAGATATGATATTTGAGATGGATTTTGAAAAACATGATTTGACATGGAGGGGAGGGGAGAGCTGTGCAAAGTGACAAGAGGAGCAAAGACATGGCGTCAGGGGTGGGAAGTAAGCAATGGGGTGCCATTTCTCTTTTTTGCTTTTTGTCCATTCACTCAAAATCATCTCCTTTCCTTTCTTTTAAGTGTTTAAGGCTTTGTATTTTAACTTCATTAAAAATGCTTAAATTGCGGTAAAATGCACGTAACACAAAAATGTACCATCTTAATCATTTTTAAGTGTACAGCTCGGTGACATTAAATACATTCATATTGTTGTGCAACCATCACCATCATCCATCACCAGAGCTCTTTATCTTGCAAAACAAAAACTCTGTACTATGAAAAAGAAATAAGTCTAGGGACCCCAAACTCATGAAGCCAAAGGGAAAAGTTAAGCTGGGAACTGGGTCATGCAAACCTGCCTCCCCTTTTGGTTCCCAAATAAGATGGCTACAAGATGAAAAGCCACACACCTCCCTGATATTTTGCCCACAAGGAAATTCCTAGTGAGTTCCAAGATCTTTACCCTAAGGTGTTTCTGTTAAAATTTCACCATGGCAAAGTAAAATGATAGTTTATCTTTACAGGTACAGTCATCCCCCTGCCCACCAGCCACAAATGCATATCTGATTGTTCCCCTGCCCCATTTTGTCTATGTCATCTTAGGTAAAAATGCAGATTCCCTGGATTTTTCCTCTGTCCCCTTTGTCTGTGTCATCTTATGTAAGAAATGCAGATTCACTGAGATAGACAAAGGCATGAACGAGTATTTTTTCTTGCCCCCTCTTACATGAAAATTGTGTAATTCTCAATATCCCACCCTTTCCCCTTTAAATTTGTGGCCCCCCAAATCATCTTCAGAGAAGGCATAGACCTATCTTCTAGGCGTGCATCCTTAACTTTGGCAAATAAGCCTCCTGAAATGATTGAAACTTGCCTCATAATTGTTCTAGATTGACAGTACCTATTGAACAATTAGTTCTCTCTCTTCTCAGCCTTTGGCAAACACTATCCTACTTTCTGTCTCTGTGAATTTGACCACTCTAAGTACCTTATATAAGTGAAATCATACAATATTTGTCTTTTTGTGTCTGGCTTATTTCACTTAGCATAATATCCTCGAGGTTCCTCCATGGTGTGGTGTGTGTCAGAGTTTCCCTCCTTTTTAATGCTGAATAACATTCCATTGCACATATACATCGTATTTTGTTTATCTGTTCATCTGTTGATGGATAGTTTGGTTGATTCTACCTTTTGGCTATTGTGAATAATGGTGCTATGAATGGCATATCTCTATGAGACCCTGCTTTCAATTCTTTTGGGTTTATACCTAGAAGTGGAATTGATGGATCATGTGTTAATTCTATTTCCAAGTTTTTGAGAAACTGCCATACTGTTTACTGTAGTGGCTGTATTGCTTTACATTCCCACCAGTGGTGCACAAGTGTTCCAATTTCTTCATATCCTTGCCAATACTTATCATTTTTTAAAAATAGTAGCCATTTCAATGAGTGTGAGGTGTTATTTTATTGGTTTGATTTGCATTTCCCTAATGATTAGTAATACTGAGCATCTTTTTATGTGCCCATTTGCATATCTTCTTTGGAGAAATGTCTATTCAAACCCTTTATTTTTTTTTAAATTTTTCTCTCTGCCTTTGGCTTTTTTTTTTTCCTTTTGAGACAGAGTCTTGCTCTGTCCCCCCAAGCTGGAGTCCATTGGTGCAAACTTGGCTCACTGCAACACTGCAATCTCTGCTTCCTGGGTTCAAGCGATTCTCGTGCCTCAGCCTTCCAAGTAGCTGGGATTACAGGTGCCCGCCACCATGCCCGGCTACATTTACTCATTTTTAAATTGGGTTATTTGTATGTTGCATTTTTTCTTTTCTTTTTAAAAATGCCTGGTGTTGAATATTTAAATCATGTTGAGGCATGTGGGGAAAACTGGCACGGACCACCTGTAAAGCTAGCCCCAGTGGCAGGCCATTATCCAACAGGTGTTCAAGCTCCTGAGTAATGAAATAGCTGAATATCGCAGATGAAGCAGTCTTGATCTCAGATTCATTAGTAGAGGCAATTTAAAGTAGTGGCCGGGAGCAAAACCTATAGAGTCAGATATGCCATCACTTATTTGCAGTGTGATCTTGGGCAAGTCATTCAAACTCTGTAAGTTTTGATTTTCTCATCTGCAAGAAGGGGAAACTAATAATAGCTGTCTCACAAGATTATTATAAGGATTAATGAAGTAATATGTATAATATGAGCTCAGTACAATAGTAAGTAATCAATAGATGATATTATTAATATTGTATTATTTTATCGTTATTATTTTAACCTTCGGTGTTGCTTTTTCAGTACTTACACTTAACTCTTAACTCTCCAGTTCTCCTTAACTTAATCTTAACTCTCCAGTTCTCCTTGGCCATGGCTAACAGATCTCAGTCAGGAGATGGTGGTAGCCATTGGCATATCAGTGAGCTGGGAGTTTGGGAGCTGGTTCAAATACTAATGCTAGTGTTCTCAATGCTTACTTATTGTGGCCTTCTTATTCAACATTGTCTTCTTGGCCATATCCCTACACACATTTTTGACACTATTGAGTAGCCAGTCACAATGTATCCCTGACACAGCCTGATGACTATAGGACAAATAAATATTAAATGGGGTATGTATTATATAAAAGACTCAATATGTAATGGATGTCGTACATGAATGGCTGAGAACTGAGAACTGTTCCAAAGTAGAATAAAATGAGTAGATTTCAATTCACTTTAACTTAAACAAATCAATAACAGCAAAAATAAAATTATTGAGTACTTATTTTAAATATATTGAAAGGCACTAGAAATATAAAATAAAAAATTGAGCATTTATTCTCAAGGAAGTGACAGTTTAGTAAAAGAGAAACATGAAAACAATTACAACGAAGGTCAACAGGCATAGGGATAGGAAAAAAATTACAAGGTAGAGTAACACCACAAAGTAGGGGAATTGGATTGACCATCTAGATAGGCTGGTGAGGTCTTCATGGGGAGGGTGACACCTGATCTCAGAACAAGACAGTTGGGCATCACATGAAAGGAACTCCAGAGAGTGTTGTACATGTGCAGGGTTAACAGGGTTAATAGTGAGATACTAGCTAAGAAATTGGAAATAAGAGTATATTGCCAGGCTGGGCGTGGTGGCTCATGCCTGTAATCCCAGCACTTTGGGAGGCCGAGGCAGGTGGATCACAAGGTCGGGAGTTCAAGACCAGCCTGACCAACATGGTGGAACCCCATCTCTACTAAAAATACAAAAATTAGCTGGGCGTGGTGGTGCATGCCTGTAATACCAGCTACTCAGGAGGCTGAGGCAGGAGAATCACTTGAACCTGGGAGGCAGAGGTTGCCGTGAGCTGAGATCATGCCACTGCACTGCAGCCTGGGTGACAGAGCGAAACTCTATCTCAAAAAAAAAAAAAAAAGAAAAAAAAAGAGTATATTGCCCTCTGAAATTTCAGATAATAGAGTAGAGCATTGATTCAATTTAATACATCTAAGATGGGTTTTGAGGTTCTGACTTCTGAAAAATCTTCCCAAGGGATGGGGCTGCTTCTGGGCAAATAACCCGATGCTCTTCATGAGATGATCTCACTCAGCATTTCCCAAGCCCATGTGCTGCAGAAGACTCTTCCTCAGGATGCTAAAGGTAGTGTGAGGAAGGTCCATGTTCAAATAATTTTGGAAAATGCTATGTTAAATAATGTAATACAACTTTTTAAAGCAAGATCCCTTAAAACAAGTTATGAATCTCTAAGAGGGGATACAGTGTGTAGCAATTTAGTATAGATTTCTTTAAAATCTGTAAGTCTGTGAAGATGTTATTGTTTATGTGTCTTTGTATGGGTCTGTATGTGTTTGCTGGGCGTGCGTGTGTGTGTGTGTGTGTGTGTGTGTGTGTGTGGCCTGTGTGTCTTTGTCTTCCTATTTCTATTTGAGAGTGTATGTGTAATACGGCTTGGCTGTGTCCTCACCCAAATACCATCTTGAGTTGTAGGTCCCATAATCCCCATGTGTCATGGGAGGGACCCGGTGGAGGTAATTGGATCATGGGAGCGGTTTGCCCCATGCTGTTCTCGTGATAGTGAGTGAGTCTCATGAGATCTGTTGGTTTTATAAGCATCTGGCATTTCCCCTGCAGGCACTCATTCTCTTTCCTGTCACCCTGTGAAGAGGTGCCTTCCGCCATGACTGTAAGTTTCCTGAGGGCTCCCCAGACATGTGGAACTGTGAGTCAATTACACCTCTTTTCTTTATACATTACCCAGTCTTGGGTATTTCTTCATAGTAGTGTGAGAACTGACTTATACAGTGTGTGTTTGTCGGCGGGGGGGGTGGGGTGGGGATGGGGGGCGTGTGCACATGGGTATGTCTGGATGTGTTTCTATGTGTCCCAGGATGGTATTTTTATGTAAATATGGAGGAGACCAGATTGGGAGTAAAGACAAAGAAAAAGGAAAGCAAGTGTCACCATGGATGTTGGAAATTTCAAGGTATAATGTAAAAAGCAAGATCCTACTGAGACAATTGGGTTAAGTCTGCAATGTATTTTGCTTTAAAATGAATAATGAATTAGAGATAATTTGGTCTGTGCATTTAGTACTGGTTAAAATAATGTTTTTATTTCTAACATTAAACTGTCTCCTTAAGCATGATAAAGTAATTGAGTAAAAAATAACTAAACTCGCCTGGGCATGGTGGCTCACGCCTGTAATCTCAGCACTTTGGGAGGCCAAGGTGGGCGGATCACCTGAGATCAGGAGTTCAAGACTAGCCTGGCCAACATGGTGAAACCCCGTCTCTACTAAAACTACAAAAATTAGCCGGGCAAGATGGCGCATGCCTGTAATCCCAGCTACTTGGAGGCTGAGGCAGGAGAATGGCTTGAACTTGGGAGGCGGAGGTTGCAGTGAGCCGAGATCACACCACTGCATTCCAGCCTGGGTGGCAGAGCGAGACTCCATCTCAAAAACAAAAACAAAAACAAAAACAACCAAAAAAACTCATTTCTCGGAATAAATATTCAGCATATATTTATTGGGTATGTACTGTATGCTAGGCATTGGATATATATCCAATATATATCTAGATATATATCTAGATATTGGATATTTTATATATCTAGATATTGGATATGTTATAACAAACAAGAAAACTTCTTGCTGTTATTTCATGAAGCTCATATTTAGGGGGCAAAAGAGACAGTAATCCAATGACTATATAAATAAATGATGTATGGTGTTAAGTAAAGGTAATAGCTATGAAGAAAATATAGCAGGTAAGGGGTCAGAAGTGCCAAGGTTACTATTTATGTTACGCATTCTGTGGTGCCTTAAGTATAATTTTCTTCATTTTTTTTTTTTTTTGAGACGGAGTCTCACTCTGCCGCCCAGGCTGGAGTGCAGTGGCGTGATCTCGGCTCACTGCAACCTCCACCCCCCCCAATTCAAGCAATTCTTCTGCCTCAGCCTCCTGAGCAGTTGGGATTACAGGTGCCTGCCACTGTGCCTGGCTAATTTTTGTATTTTTAGAGGAGATGGGGTTTCACCATCTTGGCCAGGCTGGTCTCGAACCCCTGATCTCGTGATCCACCCACCTGGCCTCCCAATGTGCTGGGATTACAGGCGTGAGCCACTGCGCCCAGCCCATGTTTTTTGTGTTTGGGGTTTGTTGAGCTTCTTTGATGTATGGATTTACAGATTTCACCAGATTTGAAAAACACGTAGCCATTATTTAAATAATTCTTCTCTCTGCCCCACCCCCTTACATGTATGTTAGGCTGCTTGAAGTTGTCCTGCAACTCACTGATGCTCTGTTTCAGTTAATTTTTAGTCTTTTCTCTCAGTATTTCATTTTAGTTTCTATTATTATGCTTTCAAGTTTACTAATATTTTCTTTGGCAGGGTCTAATCTGCTATTAAGCTTAACTGCTATATTTTTTATTTGATATGTTGTATTTCATCTTTTAAAGTTTGATCTTTTTTGTATATGTCTTTCATTTCTTGACATACTCAATCTTTACCCCCTTGAACATAAGAAATATATCATATATGTATGCTTTAATGTCCTTGTCTACTAATTCTATTGCTTATACCTTTCTGAGTCATCCTATTGATTGATCTCCTTACTGTTGGTGGTGTTTTCCTGATTCTTTGCTTGCCTGGTGATTTTTTCTGGGTCCTACACATGCTGAAGTTTACCCATTGAGCACTGGATATTTTGTATTCCTATCAATGTT
The DNA here is from genome assembly GCF_000001405.40 of Homo sapiens. NCBI lineage: Eukaryota > Metazoa > Chordata > Mammalia > Primates > Hominidae > Homo > Homo sapiens. Next base: position 32,934,933 of record NC_000012.12, read on the forward strand.
CTTGAACCTTATTCTGGGATGCAATTAAGTTGCATGGAACAGTTTAATTATTTTGAGGCTTGATTTTAGCCTCTGTTGGGAAGCACTAGAGCAGCTCTTAGTTTAGGACTAACTTGGCTTCACTATGGAGGCCTTTTCTACTGGGAGGGAATGAATATTTCCTAGCCTGTATGAGTTCTTTTCCCTCTGCTTTTCTTTGGTTGTTTTTCCCCTGGTTTCAAGTATTCCTCACACACACGTGCTGATCAGTACTCAGCTGAAGACTTGAGGGGTCTCTCTGCTGATCTCCAGAGTTCTCAGCTCTCTCTCCTCTGGTGTTCTGCCCTATGAACTCTATCTGCCTTCCTGGGCTCTCAGTTCTGTCTCTTCAGCTTCAAGTAATCCCCAGGCTTCTCCTGGGTTTCTTTTTCCATGTTGTGGTCTGGAAACTCTTCAGGAAGGAAACCATGGGCAATTATAGGTTTTATTTCACTTGCTCTTCCTTTCTCAGGATTAATGTCTTTTTACATTTTTGTTTTTTTATTTTTAGAGACAGAGTCTTGCACTGTTGGCTCAGTCCAAGTGCAATGGTGCAATCATAGCTCACTGTACCCCTGAACTCCTGGGCTCAAGTGATCCTCCCACCTCAGTCTCCCAAGTAGCTGGGACTACAAGTGCACACCACCATGCCAGGTTAGTTTTTTTAATTTTTTGTAAAGATGAGGTCTTGGTATGTTGCCCAGGCTGGTCTTGAACTCCTAGGCTCAAATGATCCTCCTGCCTTGGCCTCCCAAGGAGAGCTGAGATTACAGACGTGAGCCACCATGCCTGGCCTTTAAGGTTTACTGTTTCATGTTGCCTAATGTCTAATATCTGAACATCGTTTTATACATTTGATCTTGTTTTTTAGTTATTTGAGACAGGAGAGTATATCCAGTCCCTGGTCATGAGGACTCTCAAGCATTTGTATATCTTCTTTGGAGAGGTCCACACGGTGAGGAACTGAGGCCTCCTGCCAACAGCCAGCATGAAATTGCCAGTTATGTAACTGAGCCAACTCTGAAGCAAACCTTCCAGGTTTCAGATGGCTGTAGCTGCATCTGGTATCTGGACTGCTACCTCATTAGAGACTCTCAGCCACGACCACCTAGTTAAGCCACTTCCAATTTTCTGGCCAATGGAAACTATGTGAGATAATAAATGTTGATTGTTATTTTAAGTTGCTAAGTTTTGGAATAATTCATTATGTGGCATTAGATAACTGTTACAGATTAGAAGTGAAGTGCTGTCATAACAAAAATTAAAAATGTGGGAGTGGCCTTGTGCAGTGGCTCACACCTGTAATCCCAGCACTTTGGGAGGCCGAGGCAGGCAGATCACTTGAGGCCAGGAGTTTGAGACCTGCCTGGCCAACATGGTGAAACCCCATCTCTACTAAAAATACAAAAAATTAGCCTGGTGTGGTGGGTGGGCACCTGTGATCCCAGCTACTTGGGAGGCTGAGGCAGGAGAATTGCTTGAACCCAGAAGGTGCAGGTTGCGGTGAGCTGAGATTGAGCCACTGAACTCCAGCCTGGGCAACAGAGCGAGATTCAGTCTCAGGGATCAAAAAAAAAAAAAAAAAAAAAAAAAAAGAGCGGGAATGGCTTTGGGAACTGGCAGTGGGCAGAAACTGGAAGGATTGTGAGGAGAGTGTAACTCAAAGCCTGAGGTGTCTTGAAGAGATGCTTGATAGAAGCTTGAAGACCTTTCAGAAGACTGCCAGTGAGGGCTTCCTGGAATGCGGAAAATGTTTCTGGAGAAATGAGACTGGAGAAAAGCGGGTCCTTGTTGTGTAGTGGTAAAAAGTATAACAACACTGTCACCTGAGGTAAGACAGAGAGTAGAAAATATACCTAATGAAGTGGTTGACCTAGTTAGGGAGATTTCCAAACAGAGTGTTGAAGGTCCTTCTTTATAGTAAAATGAGAGGGAGTGGGAGACGTGACCTGCTATGGGCCATGGATCTTGGTGTGGTGGGGGCCAGGGCTAAAAGGCATATGCCTGGCTCTCCTGCATTAGAGGGAGGGAGAAAGAAATAGGTGGATTTAACACTTAACAGGTTCTTGTTTGTCTGTCTAGGAGTAGAAAAGTATGGTGCGAATTCTGCCATCTTTTGTTTAATAGATCCTGAGATTCAGCTCTGCCTTAGAAGTTTCAGGAATATTGGGCTGGTCATGGTGGCTCATGTGTGTAATTCCAGTAGTTGGGGAGGCCAAGGCAGGAGGATCACTTGAGCTCAGGAGTTCCAGATCAGCCTGGGAAACAGGGTGACCTCGTCTCTACAAAAAATAAAAAAATTAGCCAGGTGTGGTGGCACATGTCTGTGATCCCAGCTACTCAAGGGGCTGAGGTGGGATGATTGCTAGAGCCAGGGAGATTGAGGCTGCAGTGAGCCTTGATTCTGCCACTGCACTCCAGCCTGGGCGACAGAGCGAGACCCTGTCTCAAAAAAAAAAAAAATCTGTAAACATGAAGAGAGAGACAGAGAGACAGAAAGAATGTGTGTGTGTGTGTGTGTGTGCACTGTGTGTGTGTGTGCTGTGTGTGTTAGACAAAGGCCATTTCTTGGTGATCTGATTAACTTAAGTTTGTGGTTTTTCAGATTTTAACGCAAGTTTCAGAGCTTATGAATAATGCTCTATTTAATGAATTCATTATTATATGAATTTCATTATTCTAATGAAATAAATTTATTTATTTATTTGAGATGGAGTTCCGCTCTTATACCCTGGGCTGGAGTGCAATGGCGCAATTTCAGCTCATTGCAACCTCTGCCTCCCGGGTTCAAGCAATTCTCCTGCCTCAGCCTCCCGAGTAGCTGGGATTACAGGCATGCACTATCACAGCCGGCTAATTTTTGTATTTTTAGTGGAGATGGGGTTTCATCATGTTGGTCAGGCTGGTCTTGAACTCCTGACCTCAGGTGATCCGCCCACCTCAGCCTCCCAAAGTGTTGGAATTACAGGCATGAGCCACCGCACCTGGCGCTTATGTAATTTTGAAAAGAGAAACACGAATCTATTCCCTGCTCGTTTCCTTCCATCCACATTGACAAAATGGATTTTCCTGGATGTAGGAGTGCTTTGCTTATAAATCAATTAATTCTTGAAATATTCATGATATTACATTCCATTGTGTCCCTTGTGTTTGGAAAATATCTACAGCTGCAGAATGGGGTGTGTCCTGGAGAGCTTCCTGTATGCACTGATGATCATAGTCTTTAGCTTAAACATATTGCTTTTTGGTTATTTATGCCAAATGGAGGACATTCAAAATATATTCTTTTCCACATGCTAACATATCTGAGGTGCTGAAGTCACCTGTGACAGTTTATAATCGTCTCTCCATGTTTACTGGGGCTCCGGTTTAATGTGACCTTGGGACTGCTGATTATCACAGGAGATGTTAGAGGACAAAATACCAATATAAGGGTCTCAGTCTCTTTCTCTGTGCAGCCCATTGCTTCAGATAATGAAAATAAATTTTCTCAGGACCTTTTCTTGTGATATATCCATATTCTAAGCTGAAGTTATGTTTATCACACATGCAGGAAATTAAAAAACAACAGCAATCATAGACTGGATTGTTTTATCTCCCTTGTCAAAGGAATATTCTTTATTTCTGAGCCGGAATAAATAAAATACTTCCTCATGATAAGCCTGAAACAAGTTAACCCCATCGTGAGAGTAAGTTAGTAAAGTTCCTGCCAGCTCAAATCTGCCTCTACGCTCTGTCCCCATAATTACGTTTTGCAGGTTAGATGTTTGAAATTGTTCACACCAAGGTTAATATTAATAGATGAAAATAATTCCTGAGTTAAAGAATTCAGGTGGGTAGGGGATTAATCTGTGCCTTGATTGTTATTCAGGCAGTTGGAAATCAATGTGGAAATTATGCAAAGAGAAATTACTCCCCAGTAGGTACTTTGTGAAAAGGTTGTGCTGTATCAAATGGCACAGGTAATAGATACCGCATGAATTTAAGATGCAAGTGAGGCTTGAGTCTCACAGGGAGATGGAAGTGCCTGGATGACAGAATGATAAGTGGCTGCATTAAGCATTTTAAATACTTAATTTTCACCAAGTGCAAAAACTGAATGATCATGTCTCCTTAACAGCTATTGGCTTCCATTGATGTCATTATTTTCTGACTATGATTTAACATGAAAGATAAGTATGTTTTCCAGTAAGCATCCATTCTGATAAATAGAAGCATAAATGAGCAGTAAATCCAAAGGGAAAAACATAAACAAATTAAGTAGGAAAACCATCTCTATCCCTGCCTATAACTGGAAACCCTAGTTGATGTTGCAGTTCTCTAACATGTATTTCCTGATTCAGAATTTTGGTAAAGTAGTAGCCTCATAGTTCCTCTTGGTAAAATTAATATTTGAATGTATATGTTATAGAAACATGAATATACTCTTTTTTTTTATTTTTATTTTTTGAGACGGAGTCTCACTCTGTTGCCCAGGCTGGAGTGCAGTGGCGCAATCTCGGCTCACTGCAACCTCCACCTCCAGGGTTCAAGCAATTCTCCTGCCTCAGCCTTCAGAGTAGCTGGGATTACAGGTGTGTGCCACCACGCCCTGCTAATTTTTTGTATTTTTAGTAGAGACAGGGTTTCACCATGTTGGCCAGGCTGGTCTCAAACTCCTGACCTCAGCTGATCGCCCAACTTGGCCTCCCAAAGTGCTGGGATTACAGGCATGAGCCACCACGCCCGGCCTGAATGTACTCTTAAATGGAGGTCTGTTATAGGCTGAATCGTGTCCCCCCAAAATTCACATATTGAAGTCATAACCCTCATTACCTCAGAATGTGACTACATTTGGAGACAGAGTCTTGAAAGAGGTAAAATGAGGTCATTAGGCTGGACCCTAATCCAGTATGACTGGTGCCCCCGTAAGAAGAGCATGTTAGAACACGGATATGCACAGAGGGGGAGATGGTGTGATGTCATAGGGAAAAGGTGGTTATCTGCAAGCCAATGAGAGAGGCCTCAGAAGAAATAACCTTTTTGCACTCTGATCTTGGACTTTTAGCCTCCATAATTGTGTGAAAATAAATTTTTGTTTAGCCACCCAGTCTCTGCACTTCTTATGGGAGCCCTCGCAAACTAATATAAGGTTTCAAATGAGAAGGAATGGGAGAGTCTAGGAAAACTGATATCTCTGGAGAGGTTTACATTTTTCCTGTTTGTTGGGGGAGGTAGGAAATGAAGGATAGGGTAGTTGAGAGTGAAATTCTCACATTTCAGTCAACAATGCCATGATATGGCTATGATCTGTCACTCTCCTTATTCAGGAGATGCCTGGGCATAAAAAGGAAAAAAGATCAATATGTTTTGAAACCAAAATATGTCCAGTAATACAACTCATTTTAAGCACAATGAAAAAATTGCAGAGCAATAGTATAGGATGACTCCATTTGTATGTAAATTTAGATTCCTGTTAGTGCCTATGTTAGACACTGAAAAAGTGTTCCCAATTAAGCATGGAGGGGTGGTAAAGTTCTTACTTAGTAAAGTAAGAAAATCTTAATCTTGCGAATAGAGTCAAACATGTATGATATAGTTTGGATATTTGTCCGTGCCCAAATCTCATGTTGAATTGTAATCTCCAGTGCTGGAGGTGGGGCCTGGTGGGAAGGAAGTGCTTGGGTCATGGGAGTGGATCCCTCATGGCTTGGTGCTGTCTTGGAGATAGAGAGTGAGTTCTCTGGAGACCTGGTTGTTGTAAAGTGTGGCATCTCCCCCTCCACTCTCTCTCTCTCTCTTGCACCTGCTTTCCCAATGTGATGTGCCTGCTCTCCCTCCTGCACCTTCTGCCATGATTGTAAGCTTTCTGTGGCCTCCCTAGAAGCTGAACAGATGCCAGCACCATGCTTCCTGTAAAGCCTGCAGAACCATGAGCCAATTAAACCCCTTTTTAAGATAAATTACCCAGTCTCAGGTATTTCTCTCTTTCTTTCTTTTTTCTTTCTTTTTTATTTTTTGAGACACAGTCTGGCTTTGTTGCCCAGGCTGGAGGGCAGTGGCATGATCTTGGCTCACTGCAACCTCTGCCTCCTGGGCTCAAGTGTTATAAAAGCTTATTTAACAATTTACCTCTGGCTGATATTGTTTGTTTTGTTTGTTTGTTTTTTTAATTTTGAGACAGGGTCTTGCTTTGTTGCCCAGACTGGTCTTGAACTCCTGGGATCAAGTGATCCTCCCTTCTCAGGTGGGATTACAGGCATGCACCACTGTGTCCAACTTGACGTAATTCTTTTTTTTTTTTCTTTCCTGAGACAGGGTTTTGCTCTTGTTGCTCAGGCTGGAGTGCAATGGCATGATCTGGGCTCACTGCAACCTCCGCCTCCCAGGTTCAAGTGATTCTCCTGCCTCAGCCTCCCTAGTAGCTGGGATTACAGGGATGTGCCACCACGCTCGGCTAATTTTGTATTTTTAGTAGAGACAGGGTTTCTCCATGTTGGTCAGGCTGGCCTCAAACTCCCGACCTCAGGTGATCTGCCCGCCTCGGCCTCCCAAAGTGCTGGGATTACAGGCATGAGCCACCGCACCCGGCCCATAATTCTTTTAAATATGTATTTTGCTGGGTGCGGTGGCTCACGCCTGTAATCCCCGCACTTTGGGAGGCTGAGGTGGGAAGATCACGTGAGTCCAGGAGTTTGAGACCAGCCTGGGCAACTTGGTGAAACCCGTCTCTACTAAACATACAAAAATTAGCCAGGCGTGATGGTGCCTGCCTGTGGCCCCAGCTACTCAGGAGGCTGAGGTGGGAAGATTACCTGAGCCCAGGAGGTCGAGGCTGCAGTGGGCTGTGACTGTGCCACTGTACTCCAGCCTGGGTGACGGAGTGAGACCCTGTCTCAAATGAATAAATAAATAAAATTAAAAATAAATAAATAAATAAATGAATAAGTGTTTCAGCATTGGAAATAAATCTGGTGGTAAGCTAAGTGTACATTGATTTCTGCAACTGAGTTCTTACTATGGGTTAGGCAATATTATAGGCAGGATAACATGTGGAGAATAAGACAGACAAGGCCTCTAATTTACAGTCTATATTCTAGGGGTGCTATTGGTAATGAAGTATATAATAGTCAGTGAATATACAGTGTAATCTGTTATGACATTATTCCCAGAATCCCTGTCTAGGAATCATTGAAAAGGAATTACATTTTCTAGACATGGGCATTAGCAGAATGCTGGACTTAACAATATTTTCTCATGTGACAATAGGCAAGTTTCTTCCTCTCTATCTCAAAATTTCTTTTAGAGAATAATCTATTTTCCATTCATCATAATTTTAAAATGGACTATCATTAGGGCCTTTAATTCTTTAATTTGTAGGCTGGCAATGGAGACTGGTTAGGACCTATATTAAATGATAGTCCACAGGCCACATGATGCTTGTTTATCAATTGGTAGATTTTATTTTACCTTTAATAATCACCATCAGGAGGTTTCCTTTTTTTTTTTTTTTTTTGAGATGGAGTCTCGCTCTGTTGCCTAGGCTGGAGTGCAGTAGCACGATATTGGCTGACTGCAACCTCCACCTCCTGGGTTCAAGCGATTCTGCATCAGCCTCACGAATAGCTGGGATTACAGGCGCATGCCACCACGCCCGGCTAATTTTTGTATTTTTAGTAAAGTTGGGGTTTCATCATGTTGACCAGGCTGGTCTCGAACTCCTGACCTCAAGTGATCTGACCTGCCTCCGCTGTTTAAAGTGCTGGGATTACAGGAGTGAGCCACCATGCCGGGCAGGAGGTTTCCTTTTTAAAAAACATTTTAAATGGCTACAGGCATGTGCCGCCATGCTTGTCTAGTTAAAAAAACAAACAAACAAAAAACATTTGGTCCAGCGCAGTGGCTCACGCCTGTAATCCCAGCACTTTGGGGGGCCGAGGTGGGCAGATCACGAGGTCAGGAGATTGAGACCATTCTGGCTAACACGGTGAAACCCCGTCTCTACTAAAAATACAAAAAAGAAAAAAAAAAGTTGGGCATAGTGGCAGGTGCCCGTAGTCCCAGCTACTTGGGAGGCTGAGGCAGGAGAATGGTGTGAACCCAGGAGGTGGATCTTGCAGTGAGCCAAGGTGGCGCCCCTGCACTCCAGCCCAGGCGACAGAGCAAGACTCCATCTCAAAAAAAAAAAAAAAAATTTTTTTTTAGAGATGATGTCTGCTATGTTGCCCAGCCTGCCAGACTGGTCTTGAACTCCTGGGCTCAAGTGACCCTCCTGCCTCAGACTCCAGAAGTGTTGGGATTACAGTCACGAACCACTGTGCCTGGCCAGGAGATTTCTTAAAAGAATATCCATGTCCAGTGGAAAGGGATAGGCAGCTAAGTCTTGAATAGTTAAAGTCTTAGTGTGCATACATTTTTTGATAAAAAATAATTGAATTACTTGTCATCTCATTACATTGAAATGAGGCACACATTCGTAAGTGCCTCATAAAGGAAAACCAGTAATGACAAGACATGAAATGTATTGAGTAATTTACCATACTCCAGGTACTCTGCATTTCAGTTTATTGACTCTTCACAACCACTGTAGGATTTAGGGACTATTATCAGTCCTGTTTTTCACATGAAGAAAGTGAGGCCCAGAGAGGGGTTAAGTAACTTTCTCAAATAAAAAATTTACTTGGCCATGCACAGTGGTTCTTTCCCGTAATCACAGCACTTCAGGAGGCTGAGGTGGGAGGATCGCTTGAGCCCAGGAGTTTGATACTAGCTTGGGCAACAACAACAAAAGTAGCTGGGCATGGTGGCATGTGCCTGTAGTTTCAGCTACTCAGGAGGCCGAGGCTGGAGGATTGCTTGTGCCCAGGGGGAGTGAGGCTGCCAGTGAGCCATGATCACAGCACTGTACTCCAGCCTGGGCAACAAAGCGAGACTCTGTCTCAAAAAATTTTTAAATGATGTTTCTCATGTTACTTCCTCAAGCTGGCATATGAGTTTATTTTAGGTGACCAGCTATGCTGGTTTGCCCAGGATCGTTCTGGTTTTAGCACTGAATGCTCATGTACTAGGAAAACCTTCAGTTGCTGGCAAACCAAGATGGTTGGTTACACAGATATTTCTTTTAATTATTTAAATCCTGTGTTGATTAGACTGTTGTTACAGGAGGGTGCTTCACTAAAGTCATCCTCACAAATGGTTGCTCATTCTTCTTTCAGGGTAGGAGTCCCACTGGATTCTCTAATCCAAAGCCTATTTCAGTATTATGTCAAACCTCACTCATTTTCATTCTATTTACAGTGACTCTTTGTTTATAATGAATGTTAACTTTGGCATAAAATGTTTAAGTAGGAGCATCCTGAAGAGCCTACTCTGGGGCATGGGGATGTGGAGATAAGCCAGAAAAGGTGAGTCAGTACAGAATGGCGTAATACAAGAAATGTCCCCAAGGGCCAGAGTAGACAGTGAGGCCATCACGTAGACATCACTGTTATTCAAGTCTGCTGATGATCAGGTGTTCATTTCTGCTGCCTGAAGTCAACCTGACTAGTAACGTTTTGAGATTCTCAATGGGGAGTAACTCTAGACAGAGTCTCGAACATGTGGGACGGTATTGAAACTACAAGTTTAAACTTGATATGTGGAATACGTTAAGATTATTAGACAACATATCAGTAATGGAGTGTTAGCTTCAGTGCTAAGTGGGAAATTGAAGCAGTCCTATTTGTTGTTGATTGCCATTATCTAGTGTCTTTCATTTACCCAACAATTATGTGTTGAGTAATTTCTGTAGACAAGAAACGATGTTGGTGCTAAAACGAATATAAAATGGAATGAGATTCTGTCCCTTTCCTCAAGTAGCTTATGTCCTAATAAGGAAGATGATGCATTCTCCTAAGTAACCAAGGAACCTCTACTTCAAGGAATCTCATGGAAAGAAATTATAACAATTAACTTATTGGGCATATTGTGGAGGGACTGATGTCCAGATTAAAAATTTAAACTTTATTTAGTAGGTGGTAGGAAACTATAATTGCTCTTCATCTCACTCTGATATGCAGATTCATTTGTTATTATCCATCTTTCCTCTCTAAAATGTAAATTCCATTGCAGTTGAGACTTTGTTTTGTTTTATCGCTGTTATTGCCAGCACCCAGAACCTGGCACCTGATAAATTCTTAAATATTTGTTCATTGTTGGATGGATTACTCCAGAGGTTCTCAAACTTTCTTTGTTCGTAGTGTTCTTTGTGCCTTAGAGACTTTTTATGGCACCTCTAGGCAAAACAAAAAGAAAACAAAAACAACACAAAATTAACCGTTCTATTGATTTCCAAACAGTACTGTACTTGCTTTTTAAAGAAGTCACAGTAACCGTAGAAACTCAGCTTCACAAAAATTTGACATCAATGAAAGGAATGTAGTGCGATCTCATGGTGAAACTGATTTACTGTAGGCTAGTAGTTCATGCAGGGCCTGACAGATGTCAAGATATGCTTCACCTGAAAATTTAAAATAGCTTGTAGTAGCCATGCAAGTTTTCTGCTGTGCCCTTTGGCACCTTGGTGCACAATTTGAAATAAAAATAGTATTTTGAGTCCCTATGTCTTTACTCTTCGTCTATAGGACATATTTCTATGGTCCTACAAAATTTAGTACTTCTAGTGAGATTTGGCTTTTTCCAGCTGCTCTAGTCGCTGGGCATAAGCCATTGAATATATCACAAAGACAAAACTGATTTGTGTGTTAAGAGTACCAAAATAGGCCAGGCGTGGTGGCTCACGCCTGTAATCCCAGCATTTTGGGAGGCTGAGGTGGATGGATCACAAGGTCAGGAGTTGGAGACTGGCCTGGCCAATATGGTGAAACCCCATCTCTACTGAAAATATAAAAATTAGCCAGACGTGGTGGTGCGCACCTGTAGTCCCAGCTACTTGGGAGGCTGAGGCAGGAGAATTGCTTGAACCCAGGAGGTAGAGGTTGCAGTGAACCAAGATCGTGCCACTGACTCCAGCCTGGGCGACAGAGCGAGACTCCATCTCAAAAAAAAAAAAAGAGTACCAAAATAAGTGCATGAGATGGATCAATTTATCCTGATAACCATACCAGTGTAATTCGATCAACATTTTTATCTGATCTTATTACAACAATGTGTCATGTAGAACACTATTCCTATGAGATGCTCCAAGAAAAAAAGAGACCAATATTCAAATAAAGGTGTGAAATCTGCATATTACTGTATTTGTCCTCAGTAAAAGTGACATTAATTATAAGTCTTGTTGTTGATTTAATAACTTTTGGAGAAAAGGGTGGGGCGTGGTGGCTCATACCTGTAATCCCAGCACTTTGGGAGGCAGAGGCCATCAAATCACCTGAGCCCTGGAGTTCCAGACCAGCCTAGGCAACATAGCAAAACCCTCTCTTTACAAAAAACACACAAAAAAACTTAGCTGGGCATGGTGGTGTGCATTTGTAGTCCCAGCTACTTGGGAAGCTGAGTTGGGGATGATCACCTAAGCCTGGGAAGTCAAGTCTGCAGTGAACTGTTATTGTGCCCACTCCAGTGTGAGTGACAGAATGAGACCATCTAAAAAACAAACAAAAAAACCCTTTGAGAAGCCGTATATTTTTTAAAGAAGGCTTATTTTTGTTTTACTTTGGGTTACCCGAAGTTACTCGACCACAATGCCTTTTTTCATATATCACCTATTCATATATTGCAACTCCAATGATCATACTGTCAAGAGACATTTGAACCAGAGTGACTCCATATTGAATAGGGGCTCAGTAAAATGAGGCTGAGACCTACTGGGCTGCATTCATAGAAGGTTAAGGCATTCTTAGTCACAGGATGAGATAAGAGGTCGGCACAAGGTACAGGTCATAAAGACCTTGTTGATAAAACAGGTTGATAAAGACCTTGTTGATAAAAGAAGCTGGCTAAAACCCACCAAAACCAAGATGGCGATGAGACTGACCTCTGGTCATCCTCACTGCTACACTCCCACCAGGGCCATGACAGTTTACAAATGCCATGGGTCAGGAAATTACCCTATATGGTCTAAAAAGTGGAGAAAACCTCAGTTCCAGGAATTGCCCACCCCTTTCCTGGAAAACTCATAAATAAGCCACCCCTTGTTTAGCATATAATCAAGAAATAACCATAAAAATGGTCAACCAGCAGCCCGTGGGGCTGCTCTGCCTGTGGAGTAGCCATTCTTTATTCCTTTACTTTCTTAATAAACGTGCTTTAACTTTACTCTGTGGACTTGCCTCAAATTCTTTCTTGTGTGAGACCCAAGAACCTTCTCTTGGGTCTGGATTGGGACCCCTTTCCAGTAACAATACTACAAGAAATGCTGGCTTGACATGCAGTAGTTTAAAAATGTATCCATACCATTTGATTCAAAGGTGTTCAAAAGAATGTTTTTAGGAACACTGAATTTTTTTCAGATCAGATTTCCCACTAGATGGTAGTGTTACAACATCAAAATCCTTCACAATAATGGCCTAGCAGCTCTAATTCAATTCCACAGACATTTACTGAGTGCCTGCTGTGTGTAAGATACTGTCTAATTCTATGTAGGCTAATGACTGCTGAAACAAGGATCCAGGCCTTTTCATTCCCAAGCAATGCTGTTTCCCTTATACCCTGCATACGCACTTAAGAAAGCAACTGCCCAGTGTCCTTAGCTAAGAGTCTTTGCAAAGCTATATACTTATAACCTTGCGAAAGAAAATGTTCTAAGGAGTTTATACAAGAAGGCACATCTGTTTTTGAGAATGCAAAAGTAGGTGCACAACAGCTCCACGAAACCTTAAGAAAATGTTTAATGAGCTCCTAGATCCCAGGAAGGTGAGGGAGATAGTCTATTCTAGAAAGAGTTCAGCTCCAGGAAAAACAGAGCAGGCCTAAAGCAGTTATAACACATATGATTAATACATATACTCTAGGTTACAGTGTGATGCATGGCCTGGACACCTGTCTTATGATTTTGAAGCTACTTGCTAGGCTGGTGTGTAATGTTGCCACAAGAAGCAACCTTAAGGGCTAGCTAGTTTGAGACCTCTATTTTGTAAATGAAATAGCTGAGGTTAAGGGAAAAATAATTTGTCGGGATCACAGAAAGATCTCTAGAACACACATGAACAGGGTAAAATCTAAGCAGATGTGTCTTTAGATTATTGTTCTGGCTGTCACCATTTCAGGGACCTCTGATCTATATATTTTTTCTGTGAAGTAAAGCACAATTTCAGGGCTGGTACATTGTGATTCTTGCTGCCTGTCCACAGCTTGTTTTCTTCATGATCCCTGTATTATAAGCAGAAATCTATCCGATTCACAGAACTCTCTAAGTTCTTCTATTGTGGAATGGAGTCATCTCTGCATCCCCGGAGTCTGGCATGGTGCCTAGCACGGTGCCTAGCACCTGCTCAGGAATCTCATAGGGATGGGTGCATTTATTTTGACCCATCCCCTCATCACCATGTAAACTACAGACAGATAGCCATGCTGATGTACTGGGGGTGAGATGGTTAGTTTGATAAAACCTTCAGAGCCCTCCTTCATTTTTGGTAACTTCTTTTTTTTTTTTGAGACAGGATCTCACTCTGTCACCCAGGTTAGAGTGCAGTGGCATGAACTTAGCTCACTGCAGCCTAGCCCTTTTGAGTTCAAGTGATCCTTCCACCTCAGCCTCCCCAGTAGCTGGTATCGCAGGTGTGCGCTACCACACCCAGCTAATTTTAAAATTTTTTTGTACAGACGAGGTCTTGCCATATTGCCCAGGCTTGTCTTGAACTCCTGGGCTCAAGCAATCCTCCTGCCTTGACCTCCCAAAGTGGTGGATTATAGGTGTGAGCTGCTGCGCCCAGCTTCGGAAACATGTGTTTTTAAGAATAAATTTTTGGAAACAGCATTGCCATTCCTCCAGCACCCCTCTGTCATCCCATATGGCTTCTGTATTATGATTTTATATTTATTTTATTTTACTTCTTTTGGAGACAGAGTCTCGCTCTGTCACCCAGGCTGGAGTGTAGTGGTGTGATCTTGGCTCACTGCAAACTCAGCCTCCCGGGTTCAAGTGATTCTCCAGCCTCAGCCTCCCGAGTAGCTGGGATTACAGGAGTGTGCCATCACGCCTGGCTAATTTTTTTTGTGTTTTTAGTAAAAATGGGTTTCACCATGTTGGCCAGGCTGGTCTCGAACTCCTGACCTCGTGGTCTGCCTGCCTCGGTCTCCCAAAGTGCTGGGATTACAAGCGTGAGCCACCGTTGCCAGCCCATGATTTTATATTTATAAACTCCTTCACTATGATATTTACACACATATTTCTAGTTTCACCTAGGATTTTTTCATATTGGCATTTGAATCTTTAGTCATTCTAGATTTTATTTTTGGGTAGTTTTCTAACACCATTCATTAACTTATCTATCCTTTCCTCACTGTTTTGAAGTGTTATATTTGTCACAATTTTAAAAAATATATAATTGGATCTGTTTCTAAAATTTTATTATATTTTACAAAATTATATTTTTATTGCTCTGATTTTTTCCTGTGGAGAGAATGGTATGTATTAATTTTTTTCTTTGGAACAAATGGATAAACACATTTAATAAATATTGTTACTATTTAATATGGAGATGATTAGCTAAGTGAACAATATACTCAATATTATATAAATTGACAGACTTATGAAGAACTAGTTTTTATTGATGTAAAAGCTTGAGATTATGGGAGGTGACCAGGGACTGTGTGGTCACCTGAGCTGAAGGGGTTTGCACATTTTTCACATATCCACTCTCATGGATATCTCAGGTAGATCTTGCCTATGTTTGGAAAACATAGTAATTGAAAATCAATCTAGAAAACACATTGTCTCCTTTTCTGGAGACCTAACTCTTACATTTTTAAAGACTGTTGAAGGCAGTGAGGTAGGAGGTGAAACTTGACAACAGAGGCAGGGCTTGGACACTGGACCAGATTGAGGACTAGCTAAAAATAGCTGGGGCAGAAGCAGTTTTCAATCAGACAGGCCCACCAGTGTGCCATGTCAGTTTACCATTGCCATGGCAACGCCCGGGAGTTACTGCTCCTTTCCAGGATAAATGACCCAATGATCCAAAAGCTACTACCCCTTCCCTAGAAATTTCTGCATAAGCCACCCCTTAATCTGCATACAATTAAAAGTGGTTGTAAATATGACTGCAAAACTGCCCTGAGCTGCTACTCTCTGCCTAGGGGTGGCTTTGCTTTGCAGGAACAGTCACAGGGCTGGAACACCACCGAAGCTGTAACACTACCTGTTCAATAAAGCTGTTTTCTTCTACCTCTGGGTTGCCCTTGAATTCTTTCCTGGGGAAAGCCAAGAGCCCTCATGGGCTAAGCTCCACTTTGGGGCTCTCCTGCCCGGCATCAGCAGGACCAGAATAATCCTCAAGAGCAAGATCAAAATGTTCTCATTTTCAAGTTTCTGAAATAGAACAAGAAAAAAAAAAGCATAGATAATAGTAGATTGTGTGAGTTCATTATGAGGATTAAATGAGATATCAAAAAGTTATCCAGCCCAGATTAGATGACTAATGATATTATCTTTTCTAAAAGAAGTTCTATGTTATCCTTGTGGGCAATAGAGACTTTAGTAGACTTTAGTAGGAATATAGAAAAGAAGAAATTCCTCAAAATATGGAGCTGATCAGTCTTCCTCCCATTGGATAAAATAACAACTGCATAGATCAAAATAAGCATTAGATTTACATTTTTGGAAATGTGGAATGTTTTGCTTTCTCTGTAACTCTAACATGGAATATGCACCTAATGCTACACTCCACATGAAAGTCTGTGCTTTGACTGTATGGGTAGAGTAACATTTTTGTTTGTTTTTTGAGGAGGGACGACCACATATACCTTTGTTAGTAGTTCCATAGGTTAGGTCAAATGTACGGTTCTTTAATTTGGAAGTATACTGTAGAACTGTAGCAGATATCTTGTTAATGAGAAAATTACTAATAGGTTAAGCTAGGATGTATTGATCTTTGTTCTTGAGGAGAAACTGTCAAAGATGCTATCACTGTAAGTCTGATGCTCCAAGGTTGGAAACCATTGTATTGAGTTCAACAGCTTTGTATCAAGTCAAGAGTTTTGCACATCTTTTGTTTTGCCATTCAAAAACCACACCTTAGCTTAGTGGCACTCATGAGCTCAGCCAGATTATGGAAATCCACAGCCTCCTGAGCTGGATACATGTCTATTGTTACATGCCACTGAGGTTTTATGGTTGTTTTTTATGCAGCATTGTTGTGCCATAGATAAATGATATACCTAGTTACATTTATTTAACATAAAGAGACATTATTTTAATTTGTTGACAAATTAGAAAATAAAGAGTGAAACAGTCCTTAATCTGTAAAATCTGACCATTCTAAGTTTCTGTGTTGGAATTTTTTTTATAATTTAGATATCATTATCTTCATATGCCCAGATGATCGAATTGACTATGATTTTTCAGGATCTAGCTGAAAAGTCAGGGAGGTAGCTTAGCAGAACTCAGTGCACAGAGATTTGGGAATCATTTCCCAGAGAAGTCTGTGCCTTGTTGCTTCATGGCTGTTGGCGGTTCTGTGTGAATTGCTCTATGCTCTGGATGAGGTAGCCTGGTCTTTGCATTTCTCTTTCTTCTCAGCTTCTTCTCTTCATTATTTGAAGTCATGTTTCACCTTTCTGGAAATTTGTGTGTTTCACTTTTTACTAGAACACCTGTTTGAATAGTCCATTACCATTTATTTTCTGAGTTATGCGCAGCTGATGAAAAACAGAATTTTGCACTTGGGAGGAACTGCATAAGTAATCATCCTCTCCGCTGTCTGATAAGGAAACTGAGATTTGCAAAAGTTATATCATTTTGCCCCCAGAGCACTCAGCAAATTAATTGGAGAAGTAGAATTTGAGACCATGGACTGCTAGTCTAAATGTGCTTTAATAATCTCAGGAGTGTTTCCTCAGGGACAGAGAAACATTCCCCCTCCTCTCCCCTCCTCACAGCCTTCTCACTATAGAGGACTCTGGCTTGGCCTCCCCTTCCCTCCCCTCAGCAGAAAGGTTTGGTGTTGCCAATCTCAGTAAGGTTAAGTTTAAGCCAATTTGCTTTTGTAAGCGTAAATAAATGAGAAAGAAAAAAAATATTCCTTTTTGCAAAAGGGAAAGACACTCCATCCTTTTCCTCAGAGCATTTTCTTTAGAAAACTTGGGATTGTAAATTCTTTCTCTGTCCTTTTAAGTTGTATAGAAACTTTTTCTTTTTTTCTTTTGAGGCGGAGTCTCGCTCTGTCACCCAAGCTGGAGTGCAGTAGCACAACCTTGGCTCACTGCAACCTCTGCCTCCCAGGTTCAAGTGATTCTCCTACCTCAGACTCCTGAGTAGCTGGGATTACAGGTGCCTGCCACCACACTCAGCTAATTTTTTGTATTTTTAGTAGAGACGGGGTTTCGCCATGTTACCCAGGCTGGTCTCGAACTCCTGACATCAGGTGATCTGCCCTCCCAAGCCTCCCAAAGTGCTGGGATTACAGGCAATAGCCACCCTGCTCAGCCAAGATGTATATAAACCTTTTAAAACCTAAATAAGCCTCCTGCCTGCTTTACAACCAAGGAATTTTTTTTAAAGGAACAGGGAACTATCTCTTTGAAATGTAATCATCAAGGAATATAGTGTCCCTATCTCTCAGTTTTTGTGAGATGACAGGAGCTTAGTTTCATGGACGCCTCACTCCTAAACTACCTCCAGTTATAAAGATATGAGAAATTTATCTTTCTTTTGGATAAAGCCAGTTTGCAAACACAAATGGCCACTGCAATTATCAGGTAAAACTGGGATGTGTGTGACGAATAGTTCTGTCAAGTCCTGTTCCTTGGGGAGTAGTTATTGTTAATCTTGAGAACATGTATGTAATGGGATGTGTCTGCTTAGCTATATAAAAGGGTGAGAGTCCTTTCTATCTTTGCAATCTTAGTGGAATGCCTGTGATATGTGTCATATTCTGGTTTAATGCTTATTTGATAATAAAACTGTGTCCTTTCTCCTCTACTTTTCTGGAGACGGTTTTTGAGTTGGCAGGGTATTCTGTTTTTAATTATATTTTTCCAACACATGATAAATAGTAGTGAGACAGAGGGAGATAATAGGAACAAAAGTTGCCTAGACTATAGAAGAATTTTTAGGTGGTTTGAAGAGAGAAACAGACTCAAGAGGCACTTCAAGTAAGAGTGTGGGTGGGAGAAGAAAAAGAGAATGTCCAACAAGTATTATTAGGCAGGATATGTATCTTCTTTCCTTCACAGCATTGAAGAAATAGAAGTAAAGAACTTGGATTAAAAATTGAAATTACTTTTGCTAACATGGATCATGAGTATTGACTATATTGGGTTAAAAATTGAAATTGCTTTGGTTATATTTTTTTTTTTTTTTTTTTAACCCATAACATCACTCTGGGCCTAAACAAAACAAAGCACAGTTTATAGCAATATAAGTAAAATGAAGATTTATGTTCTGAAATCTTATCTTCCTTCAGTTGCATTCAGATAGGACACATGCCTCAAACTATTTAGCATCCCCTAACTAGATTTATCTTCCAAAAACACTTGAACAAATGTATCAAAAGAAACGTGAGTGAAGAATACAAACAGGCAATTAAAAATTCATATCATGAGTACATACATGAAAATTGTTGAAATGCACTAGCAATTAAGGAAATGCAATTTAAGATTACAATGAGATGCTAGTTTTCACTCAACAAAGATAAAATGATAATTTCCAGTTTAGACAATGAGAATTTTCAGAATTTAAATTGATGTAACTTTTTTTAACTTGCACATTAAAACGTGTATTTCATCCACAATTTTTCTTTTAGAATTATGTCTAATAAAAAAAAATCTGACAATATTCTTATGTTATATCTTTTAACATAAAAAATGTGAAAATGGGCTGGGCGCGGTGGCTCACGCCTGTAATCCCAGCATTTTGGGAGGCTGAGGCGGGTGGATCACGAGGTCAGGAGATCGAGACCATCCTGGCTAACACGGTGAAACCCTGCCTCTACTAAAAATACAAAAAATAAGCCATGCGTGGTGGTGTGTACCTGTAGTCCCAGCTACTCGGGAGACTGAGGCAGGAGAATGGCGTGAACCCAGGAGGCGGAGGTTGCAGTGAGCTGAGATGGCGCCACTGCACTCCAGCCTGGGTGACAGAGCGAGACTCCATCTCAAAAAAAAAAAAAAAAAAAAATTGAAAATGCTATAATTGTCCAGCAATAGATTTGATTAATTATGGTATATTCATATAAGGAAATATTTAACCATTAATATGACTTTTAATGTTCATTGACTTGGAAAAATAGTCTCAATATGTCAAAACAGAAAAGCAGATTTCATAATAGTATGCATAGTATACTCTATTTTCTTTAAAAACATTTTGAAGAACATATACCAAAATGTTACATAAGGCCAGACACAGTGGTTCACACCTATAATCCCAGCACTTTAGGAAGTTTAGGTGGGTGGATAGTTTGAGGCCAGGAGTTCAAGACCAGCCTGGGCAACATAGTGAGACCCTGTTTCCACAAAAAAAAAAAAAAAAAAAAAAATTAGCTGGGCATTATAGCAGGTGCCTGTAGTCCAAACTACTCAGGAGGCTGAGGCAGGAGGATCCCTTGGGGCTTGAGGGCAGGAGTTCGAGTTTATAGTGACCTTTGATTGCACCACTGCACTCCAGCCTGGGTGACAGAGCAAGAATCTGTCTCTTAACAAAAAAGAAAGAAAGAAAGAAAGCATTATTTCTAAATCTATGTATTTTTTATGTTAATTTGCTTTTTTGGTAAGAGCTTTATTGGGCTCAGCAAACTAACACAGCAACAGACAACCAAATACCGCATGTTCTCACTCGTAAGTGGGAGTTGAACAATGAGAACACATAGACACAGGGAGGGGAACATCACACCCTGAGGCCTATTGTGGGATGGGGGGCAAGGGGAGGGATAGCATTAGGACAAATACCTAATGCATGCAGGGCTTAAAACCTAAATGATGGATTGATAGGTGAAGCAAACCACCATGGCACATGTATACCTATGTAACAAACCTGCACATTCTGCACATGTATCCCACAACTTAAAGTAAAATTTAAAAAAATGTTGCCAAGTTACAAATGTCATAACTATTTGTCCAGTACCTCTTGGTGTTACCTTGTCAGAAGCTAACGATATTACAATAAATAAAATAAAACTGCATATATTTTAAAAAATAGTTTTATTGGGACATAATTCACATACACCTTTGTTATTTTTACATTTCTTTTGTTAGGTTTCATCTGAGGTTTTATAAAGCTATTGTTATTATTATTTACTATAGTGGATATCTTTTTAAAAGTTACATTTTCCTTTCCTTTCCTTTCCTTTCCTTTCCTTTCCTTTCCTTTCCTTTCCTTTCCTTTCCTTTCCTCCCTCTCTCCCTCCCTCCCTCCCTCCCTCCCTCCTTCCTTCCTTCCTTCCTTTTCTCTCTCTCTCTCTCTCTTTGTTTCTCAGGCTGAAGTGCAGTGGTGCAATCATAGCTCACTACTACCTCGAACTCCTGGGCTCAAGTGATCCTCCTATCTCAGCCTCTTGCATAACTAGGACTAGAGCCACCATATCTGGCTACTTATTATTATTTTTTTTGAGACAGAGTCTCACTCTGCTGCCCAGGCTGGAGTGCAGTGGCGCGATCTCGGCTCACTGCAACCTCTGCCTCCTGGGTTCAAGCGATTCTCCTGCCTCAGCCTCCTGAGTAGCAGGATTACAGGTGCACGCCACCATGCTTGGCTAATTTTTGTATTTTTAGTAGAGACAGGGTTTCATCATATTGGTCAGGCTGGTCTCAAACTCCTGACCTGGTGATCTGCCCGCCTTGGCCTCCCAAAGTACTGGGATTACAGGTGTCAGCCACAGTGCCCAGACACATCTGGCTATTTAAAAAATTTTCTGTAGAGACAAGATCTTGCTATGTTGCCCAGGTTGGTCTGGAATGCTGGCCTCAAGCAATCTTCCTGCCTCAGCCTCCCAAAGTGTTACAGGCATGAGCCATCATGCCTGGCCAAAATTATATTTTCTAAATCTAATATAGGAAATGCTTTTGAAGTACATTTATAATAAAAAACTACTTCCACTCAAAACATTTTAGCATTGTTTAAAGAATTTACGGAGGTGGAGTCAAGATGGCCGAATTAGGAACAGCTCCAGTCTACAGCTCCCAGCATGAGTGATGCAGAAGATGGGTGATTTCTGCATTTCCAACTGAGGTACCGGGTTCATCTCACTGGGGAGTGCTGGAGAGTGGGTGCAGGACAGTGGGTGCAGTGCACCATATGTGAGCTGAAGCAGGGCAAGGCATCACCTCACCCGGCAAACACAAGGGGTCAGGGAATTCCCTTGCCTAGTCAAAGAAAGGGGTGACAGACAGCACCTGGAAAATTGGATCACTCCCACCCTAATACTGCGCTTTTCCAACGGGCTTAACAAATGGCACACCAGGAGATTATATCCCGCACCTGGCTTGGAGGGTCCTACACCCACGGAGCCTCGCTCATTGCTAGCACAGCAGTCTAAGATCAAACTGCAAGGTGGCAGTGAGGCTGGGGGAGGGGCGCCCGCCGTTGCCGAGACTTGAGTAGGTAAACAAAGCAGCAGGGAAGCTTGAGTAGGTAAACAAAGCAGCCAGGAAGCTCGAACTGGGTGGAGCCCACCACAGCTCAAGGAGGCCTGCCTGCCTCTGTAGGCTCTGCCTCTGGGAGCAGGGCACAGACAAACAAAAGGCAGCAGTAACCACTGCAGACTTAAATGTCCCTGTCTGACAGCTTTGAAGAGAGTAGTGGTTCTCCCAGCACGCAGCTTGAGATCTGAGAACGGGCAGACTGCCTTCTCAAGTGGGTCCCTGACCCCTGAGTAGCCTAACCGGGAGGCACCCCCCAGTAGGGGCAGACTTACACCTCACACGGCTGGGTACTCCTCTGAGACAAAACTTCCAGAGGAACGATCAGGCAGCAGCATTTGCAGTTCACCAATATCCGCTGTTCTGCAGCCACCACTGCTGATACCCAGGCAAACAGAGTCTGGAGTGGATCTCCAGCAAACTCCAACAGACCTGCAGCTGAGGGTCCTGTCCGTTAGAAGGAAAACTAACAAACAGAAAGGACATCTGCACCAAAAACCCATCTGTACGTCACCATCATCAAAGACCAAAGGTAGATAAAACCACAAAGATGGGGAAAAAACGGAGCAGAAAAACTGGAAACTCTAAAAATCAGAGCACCTCTCCTCCTCCAAAGGAACACAGCTCCTCACCAGCAATGGAACAAAGCTGGATGGAGAATGACTTTGCTGAGTTGAGAGAAGAAGGCTTCAGAAGATCAAACTACTTCAAGCTAAAGGAGGAAGTTCAAACCAATGGCAAAGAAGTTTAAAACCTTGAAAAAAAATTAGACGAATGGCTAACTAGAATAACCAATGCAGAGAAGTCCTTAAAGGACCTGATGGAGCTGAAAACCAGGGCACGAGAACTACGTGATGAATGCACAAGCCTCAGTAGCCGATGAGATCAACTGGAAGAAAGGGTATCAGTGACGGAAGATGAAATGAATGAAATTAAGTAAGAAGACAGGTTTAGAGAAAAAAGAATAAAAAGAAATGAACAAAGCCTCCAAGAAATATGGGACTATATGAAAAGACCAAATCTATGTCTGATTGGTGTACCTGAAAGTGACGGGGAGAATGGAACCAAGTTGGAAAACACTCTGCAGGATATTATCCAGGAGAATTTCCCCAATCTGGCAAGGCAGGCCTACATTCAAATTCGGGAAATACAGAGAATGCCACAAAGATACTCCTTGAGAAGAGCAACTCCAAGACACATAATTATCAGATTCACCAAAGTTGAAATGAAGGAAAAAATGTTAAGGGCAGCCAGAGAGAAAGGTCGAGTCACCCACAAAGGGAAGCCCATCAGACTAACAGCTGATCTCTCGGCAGAAACTCTACAAGCCAGAAGAGAGTGGGGGCCAATATTCAACATTCTTAAAGAAAAGAATTTTCAATCCAGAATTTCATATCCAGCCAAACTAAGCTTCATAAGTGAAGGAGAAATAAAACCCTTTACAGACAAGCAAATGCTGAGCGATTTTGTCACCACCAGGCCTGCCCTAAAAGAGCTCCTGAGGAAAGCACTAAACATGGAAAGGAACAACCGGTACCAGCCACTGCAAAAACATGCCAAATTGTAAAGACCTTCAAGGCTAGGAAGAAACTGCATCAACTAACGAGCAAAATAACCAGCTAACATCATAATGACAGGATCAAATTCATAGATAACAATATTAACCTTAAATGTAAATGGGCTACATGCTCCAATTAAAAGACACAGACTGGCTAATTGGATAAAGAGTCAAGACCCATCAGTGTGCTGTATTCAGGAAACCCATCTCACATGCAGAGACACACATAGGCTCAAAATAAAGGGATGGAGGAAGATCTACCAAGCAAATGGAAAACAAAAGGCAGGGGCTGCAATCCTAGTCTCTGATAAGACAGACTTTAAATCAACAAACATCAAAAGAGACAAAGAAGATCATTACATAATGGTAAAGGGATCAATTCAACAAGAAGAGCTAACTATCCTAAATATATATGCACCCAATACAGGAGCACCCAGATTCATAAAGCAAGTCCTTAGTGACCTACAAAGAGACTTAGACTCCCACACAATAATAATGGGAGACTTTAACACCCCATTGTCAACATCAGACAGATCAACGAGACAGAAAGTTAACAAGAATATCCAGGAATTGAACTCAGCTCTGCACCAAGTGGACCTAATAGACATCTACAGAACTCTCCACCCCAAATCAACAGAATATACATTCTTCTCAGCACCACACCACACGTATTCCAAAATTGACCACATAGTTGGAAGTAAAGCACTCCTCAGCAAATGTAAAAGAACAGAAATTATAACAAACTGTCTCCCAGACCACAGTGCAATCAAACTAGAACTCAGGATTAAGAAACTCACTCAAAACCGCTCAACTACATGGAAACTGAACAACCTGCTCCTGATTGACTACTGGGTACATAACGAAATGAAGGCAGAAATAAAGATGTTCTTTGAAACCAACGAGAACAAAGACCCAACATACCAGAATCTCTGGGACACATTCAAAGCAGTGTGTAGAGGGAAATTTATAGCACTAAATGCCCACAAGAGAAAGCAGGAAAGATCTAAAATTGACACCCTAACATCACAATTAAAAGAACTAGAGAAGCAAGAGCAAACACATTCAAAAGCTAGCAGAAGGCAAGAAATAACTAAGATCAGAGCAGAATTGAAGGAAATAGGGACACAAAAAACCCTTCAAAAAATCAATGAATCCAGGAGCTGGTGTTTTGAAAGGATCACCAAAATTGATAGACTGCTAGCAAGACTAATGAAGAAGAAAAGAGAGAAGAATCAAATAGATGCAATAAAAAATGATAAACGGGATATCACCACTGATCCCACAGAAATACAAACTACCATCAGAGAATACTATAAACACCTCTACACAAATAAAGTAGAAAATCTAGAAGAAATGGATAAATTCCTCGACACATACACCCTCCCAAGACTAAACCAGGAAGAAGTTGAATCTCTGAATAGACCAATAACAGGCTCTGAAATTGAGGCAATAATTAATAGCTTACCAACCAAAAAAAGTCCAGGACCAGATGGATTCACAGCCGAATTCTACCAGAGGCACAAGGAGGAGCTGGTACCATTCCTTCTGAAACTATTCCAATCAATAGAAAAAGAGGGAATCCTCCCTAACTCATTTTATGAGGCCAGCATCAGCCTGATACCAAAGCCTGGCAGAGACACAACAAAAAAAGAGAATTTTAGACCAATATCCTTGATGAACATTGATGCAAAAATCCTCAATAAAATATGGGCAAACCGAATCCAGCAGCACATCAAAAAGCTTATCCACCATGATCAAGTTGGCTTCATGCCTAGGATGCAAGGCTGGTGCAACGTATGCAAATCAATAAATGTAATCCAGCATGTAAACAGAACCAAAGACAAAAACCACACGATTATCTCAATAGATGCAGAAAAGACCTTTGACAAAATTCAACAGCCCTTCAGGCTAAAAACTCTCAATAAATTAGGTATTGATGGGACATACCTCAAAATAATAAGAGCTATCTATGACAAACCCACAGCCAATATCATACTGAATGGACAAAAACTGGAAGCATTCCTTTTGAAAAGTGGCACAAGACAGGGATGCCCTCTCTCACCATTCCTATTCAACATAGTGTTGGAAGTCCTGGCCAGGGCAATCAGGCAGGAGAAGGAAATAAAGGGCATTAAATTAGGAAAAGAGGAAGTCAAATTGTCCCTGTTTGCAGATGACATGATTGTATATCTTGATTGTATATCATCTCAGCCCAAAATCTCCTCAAGCTGATAAGCAACTTCAGCAAAGTCTCAGGATAAAAAATCAATGTGCGAAAATCACAAGCATTCTTATACACCAACAACAGACAAACAGAGAGCCAAATCATGAGTGAACTCCCATTCACAATTGCTTCAAAGAGAATAAAATACCTAAGAATCCAACTTACAAGGGATGTGAAGGACCTCTTCAAGGAGAACTACAAACCACTGCTCCATGAAATAGAAGAGGACACAAACAAATGGAAGAATATTCCATGCTCATGGGTAGGAAGAATTAATATCGTGAAAATGGCCATACTGCCCAAGGTAATTTATAGATTCAATGCCATCCCCATCAAGCTACCAATGACTTTCTTCACAGAATTGGAAAAAAATACTTTAAAGTTCATATGGAACCAAAAAAGAGCCCGCATCACTAAGTCAATCCTAAGCCAAAAGAACAAAGCCGGAGGCATCACACTAGCTGACTTCAAACTATACTGCAAGGCTACAGTAACCAAAGCAGCATGGTACTGGTACCAAAACAGAGATATAGACCAATGGAACAGAACAGAGCCCTCAGAAATAATGCCGCATATCTACAACTATCTGATCTTTGACAAACCTGAGAAAAACAAGCAATGGGGAAAGGATTCCCTATTTAATAAATGGTGCTGGGAAAACTGGCTGGCCATATGTAAAAAGCTGAAACTGGATCCCTTCCTTACACCTTATATGAAAATTAATTTGAGATGGATTAAAGACTTACATGTTAGACCTAAAACCATAAAAACCCTAGAAGAAAACCTAGGCAATACCATTCAGGACATAGGCATGGGCAAGGACTTCATGTCTAAAACACTGAAAACAATGGTAAGAAAAGCGAAAATTGACAAATGGGATCTAATTAAACTAAAGAGCTTCTGCACAGCAAAAGAAACTACCATCAGAGTGAACAGGCAACCTACAGAATGGGAGAAAAATTTTGCAACATACTTATCTGACAAAGGGCTAATATCCAGAATCTACAATGAACTCAAACAAATTTACAAGAAAAAAACAAACAACCCCATCAAAAAGTGGGTGAAGGATATGAACAGACACTTCTCTAAAGAAGACATTTATGCAGCCAAAAGATACATGAAAAAATGCTCATCATCACTGGCCATTAGAGAAATGCAAATCAAAACCACAATGAGATACCATCTCACACCAGTTAGAATGGCGATCATTAAAAAGTCAGGAAACAACAGGTGCTGGAGAGGATGTGGAGAAATAGGAACACTTTTACACTGTTGGTGGGACTGTAAAGTAGTTCAACCATTGTGGAAGTCAGTGTGGTGATTCCTCAGGGATCTGGAACTAGAAATACCATTTGACTCAGCCATCCGATTACTCGGTATATACCCAAAGGATTATAAATAATGCTGCTATGAAGACACATGCACATGTATGTTTATTGTGGCACTGTTCACAATAGCAAAGACTTGGAACCAACCCAAATGTCCATCAAAGATAGACTGGATTAAGAAAATGTGGCACATATACACCATGGAATACTATGCAGCCATAAAAAATGATGAGTTCATGTCCTTTGTAGGGACGTGGATGAAGCTGGAAACCATCATTCTCAGCAAACTATTGCAAGGACAAAAAACCAAACACCGCATATTCTCACTCATAGGTGGGAATTGAATAATGAGAACACATGGACACAGGAAGGGGAACATCACACATTGGGGACTGTTGTGGGGTGGGGGAAGGGGGGAGGGATAGCATTAGGAGATATACCTAATGCTAAATGACGAGTTAATGGGTGCAGCACATCAACATGGCACATGTATACATATGTAACAAACCTGCACGTTGTGCACATATACCCTAAAACTTAAAGTATAATAATAATAAAATTAAAAAAATAAATCTCACGTTGAAATCTATGTGAAGTAAACTGAGGTGCTCGCTGTTTGAAAAGAAAAAAAAAAGAATTTATTATATTAAAAAAAGACCTCTAAACAATTGCTTTTCAGTAGTTTCACCAATTTTTAGCACTGTGGGGGAACATAAAAAGAAACAAATCACTAAGCAAATGTAATCAATAAAAATAAATGAATTAAGTTATATTATACCTCTGTTCAAAAGCCTCTGGTATCTCCCCATACCTTTTGGACATCAGCTTTCAAACCCATCCACAATCTGACTCTAATTCTAACACTTTAATTTATTGATTGATTATTTGGCTGATTCTTTTCACAAAAACTATATTTGCCAGCTACTTTCCTATTTTCTCTTGTACTTGGAGCTTCCATAACCTTTGATGCAATTTAAACATGCTCTATACATTGCTGCCTTCCTGCCCATAGGGATTCTCATAAATCAAATTTCATTTATTCAACATCTACTATATATTAAGGAACACTCAGGAACCAATTTTTTTCTCAAATATTCTAACTCATCTTTCTTCCATCTGAAATAGTTCAGTTTTCTACTATTCAGTCTAAATAGACTATAAACTGTGAGAATTTCAGTTACCAGCTTTGGAATTAAGGTTGACTGAGGAGTTCTGATGATGACAACTGTCCCAGGTTGAGGATGGAGTTATTCATCTGACCTTGCTGCCTGCATGGTAACCCCTTTCCATCTTGTTGGCCTAGACATGTGCTTAACTTGGGAAAATTTACAACTGAATTTAAGTGTAATAGAGTGGTTAATTCCCATCCTGAGGTAAAACATTATGGCCCTGGAGGATCTTAATTTTGATTGTAGTATTTTCAAATCTGTTTATAATCATCCTAAGTGCATTTCTCAAGGTGTTATTCTAGATCTAATTGGAATTTTATAATTTACCCCTATATTTTAGAATTAGTTCCACAGGAAAAAGCCCATGAAAAGCCCATGACCCACTTATTTCCTTTTCCATTCTTTTCTATTGGGATCCTCTGTTATAGCAGCACCTGTTACCTTTCTTTCTTTCTTTCTTTCTTTCTTTCTTTCTTTCTTTCTTTCTTTCTTTCTTTCTTCTTTCTTTTTTTTTTTTGAGATAGTGTCTCACTCTGTCACCCAGGCTGGAGTACAGTGGTGAGATCTTAGCTCACCGCAGCCTCTGTCTCCCAGGTTCAAGAGATTCTCCTGCCTCAGCCTCCCAAGTAGCTGGGATTATAGGCATGTGCCACAACACCCAGATAATTTTCATATTTGTAGTAGAGATGGGGTTTCACCATGTTAGTTAGGCTGGTCTCAAATTCCTGACCCAAGTGATCCACTTGCCTCGGCCTCCCAAAGTGCTGGGATTACAGGCGTGAGCCACTGCGCCTGGCCTGAACCTGTCTTCTAATAGTTTCCTTCCTGTCTGTTGGCTTGTGCAGTGTCTTCAGCCTCTATTGTGTTCCCTGTTCTTTTTATTCATTAAAATGCCACTAAATCTTACAGATTTGGCTCAAGACCCATTTATGTCATTATTGCTAATTAAATTGGGTCTAAATTGATGTTTTTATTTGAGACGGAGTCTTGCTTTGTTGCCCAGGCTGGAGTGCAGTGGTGCGGTCTCTGCTCACTGCCACCTCTGCCTCCTGGGTTCAAACTATTCTCCTGCCTCAGCCTCCCAAGTAGCTGGGATTACAGGCATGTGCTACCACTACCAGGTAATTTTTGTACTTTTAGTAGAGGTGGCGTTTCACCATGTTGGCCAGGGTGGTTTTGAACTCCAGCCTGGAGTTCTTACCAGGTAGGAAAGGCTAGATTTTCTTACCAGATAGGAAAGGCTAGATTATACTGTGGCAACAAACAGTCCAAATCTCAGTCACTTAACACAAAAGTTTATATCTTTGTTTGATTTCATGTTCAACATGGGTTGGCAGTGGGGATAGCTCAGTGAAGTGACCTGAGGAGTCAGGGTGAAGGAGACTATTTTGACATGTGCTTCCATGATCACAGAAGCAGGGACCGTGCCACACTGACGCTTAAACCTTCTGCTTGGAAGTAATGCACTTTCTTTGTACCCATATGAGTACATATTCCATATTCCCAAACAAGTCACATGTCCATGCTTAACTTCAAAGAGGGACAGGAAGTACCCACCATGTACCCTGCACGGAGAGAGCCAGAAAGATTTGGTGAATAATAATGAGATGTATCTTTCACAGCACTTACAGCGCTACACATAAAACAAATTCCCAATGAACAGATGCTTGTTGAATGAATATTGGTTTGCCTAGGAATGGAATTAGAGCCCACAGTGAACTACTCAAATAGCTGCTCTATTTGAGTAAGTTTACAATACCATAAAGGGTTTCATATTGATGGGTAGATGGAAAGTTGTTATTACGTTTATTTAGTAGGTTGTTCAGAGCTAATGTGAAACGTTGCAACTGTGCCACAGAAGCATTGCATTTTAATGTGGGGAGGGTACTAATAGGTCATCGAGTCCTTGGTCTTATCTAGCCCTCCTCCATGTTTTCCTAAAGTGGTTATTCAGCCTCTGCTCTAGCACCTGTTACTAAATAGACTAAAAGTTCAGCAAGAATTTCTTACTGAAATAATTAGACTACAGTAGAGTCTTCTATGTAGGTTTGTGATTTACATATTTATACTTCTCTCTTTTGCTTTTAGAGTGCTTTCAATTTGGCTCTGCTCATAAATCTTGCCATCGTGCCACCACCTGGTAGCATGAAGGACATTATTAGGAAAATGAAAAGCAATTGATGCGTCCTACTCAAACCTGTGGGTGAATTGTTGCTTTAATGTGGTTGTTCTGTTTTATGCCTAGGCTTTGTCCTACCTTGGTGAATACTGAGGCATAATGCTGCAATTTAGTCAGGAGAGCACCAGGTGGTACATAATGTCATCACTGAAGATGCCGTTACTATGGCATCCGGAACCCTATTCCAGCCTTATGCTTTCACCATCTTTCTCTGTTTTCACAGAGGGACAGAAGCTGCTGCAAACCATATTTTAATATTTTAAGCGTAGCTAGAAGGTTTTGTTCTTTGTCAGGATAGGTGTTCTTTTCCATCATTCTTTCTTGTCAAGCAGTCTCACCGTGCATAATCCTCAGCTTCCTTTGGTGTCGATAGAATATTTTAAAGTATTACCATTGTAATCTGACAGTTGAACCAGAGAAAGAGAACGAACCTCTGGGAAACATACTAGCGAATAGAAAGTTGACAGCCTTCTGTGCACTGTGGAGTCTTGCTGGTAAATTAAATGATCGTCCTTGTTTCTAACAACCTTAAAATATATAGATTGTTTATTTGGTTCTCCAGACACTAATCTTCCATATGGTAAATCTTTAAGGAGAACTTTGAATACAACAAAGGTTTATGATGTTAATGTTCCTCTTCATTAATCCTAACAAACTTTACGGCGATAACTCAGTGATAAAGTGGGATATTTTGGTATGACCTTTAAGAAAGAGAAAATGGAAATCTGAATCTCACAATCAGCATTTCCCAACGTCTGTTTTGCAGGATGTTATTAAATGCTATGCAACAAATGATTTCATTGAAAAATGCTGAGTTAAAGTAAATTATGCAGATTTACTTACTATAAAAATTCACAGGAATATATTAATGCACAGTGTGAATTTCTGAGTTGGCTAATGGATGTAGGTTGTTCATTTTTTTTTGGTGGGGGGACAGGGTCTGGCTGGAGTGCAGTGGCACTATCACGGCTCACTGCAGCCTTGACCTCCTGGGACCAAGTGATCCTCCTGCCTCAGCCTCCCAAGTAGCTGGGACTACAGGTGCGTGCCACCATCAGCTAATTTTTGTATTTTTTGTAGAAATGATGTTTTGCCATGTTGCCTAGGCTGGTCTCAAACTCCTGAGCTCAGGCAATCCACCCATCTCAGCCTTCCAAAATGCTGAGATTACAGGCATGAGCCCCTGTGCCTCGCTTCATTTTTCATTCCTGTTTCACCATGAAAAACTTTTTTCTTTTTTTTTTTTAAGAGTAATTTAATGGTTTCCTACTCCCCCAAACAAATTTTAGGAAGACCTGCCCTAAATTCATCTGTTATACCTAAGAAAAGCATTTCTCACTTAATTAAGCAATGTGTATACAACCAGATAACAATGGATTAACATGCTATGGCATATTCTTCTGTGACAGATTATTGAACAGACTCACTGATTTAGCTGCATGTACCAGGAGATTACTAGAAACTTGGACCTCTTGTGATGTGAGGGCAACTGAGCAAGCTCCATTGTGAAGACACTATCCCCTCATGAATATGAAATGTAGGTACTGACCAGTTGTGTGC
This sequence comes from Homo sapiens, assembly GCF_000001405.40. Lineage (NCBI taxonomy): Eukaryota > Metazoa > Chordata > Mammalia > Primates > Hominidae > Homo > Homo sapiens. Next base: position 32,966,680 of record NC_000012.12, read on the forward strand.
TTAACATGGTGGGATACAGTCTTGTCCTTAGTTTGCTCATATTCTCATTGGAAAGGGCAGTTTTACACATATGAAAAGTGAAATATCAACATAATTAAAGATTGAATTGAATTCTAAATGTGTTCCGCAGGCAAAAGTCTGTCAGACTTCAGAAAAGGGAGAGATTAGTGGATTGGTTAGAAGGCTTCAGTAGTAGGTGAAATTTGGATTAACTTTGAAGAATTGCTTAAGATTTCCAGAGGCTGAATTGGACTATGAACTCAGTAGTTCTCATTCCTCTGCCCCCAAATCCCTCTCCCCGATTATCTTAGTGATGACTTGAGACATGATATATTGAATTATAGAGTATGCCATCAGATAATCCAGACATTCCCATACTGTCCCACTCATCTCTTGTAATCTAACAAAATATTTGCTCCATCTAAAAATGGCATATACACTAATTCCTGAAAAGAATGAAGAAAAAGGCAGAAAAATAGTGTAGGGGAAAAAGTTTAAAGCAGTTTTGCTGCTTCTTTGAAGGTAATCCTTTGTAGGTTTCTATATTTCAACTACAGCATAACAAAAATTGGTACTATTTCAAGCCATATGGATTTATAAAATCTTTTGCTATTTCTTTATTACACAATTAATTCATTGTTCATTATACAAAAAATGGAAAATAAAAATAACATAATTAAAAAATGAAACAAAAATGTAAAAATTTTAAGGCCAGGCATGGTGGCTCATGTCTGTAATCCCAGCACTTTGGGAGGCTGAGGTGGGAGGATTGCTTGAGGCCAGGAGTTCAAGACCAGCCTGGACAACACAGCGAGACCCTGTCTCTATTATATTAAAAAAAGAGTAAAAGTTATACGCCCCAAGATAAACAGCAAACACATAGAAAATTATACATACAATTATAAATTATTCCATGTATTCGGATATATAGCCATATCAACCTATATATGGAAAGCTACATAATATATATGAAATATATATATCTATATTTGATCTGTATGTATTTTAAAAAATGGGATCGTTGTGTTTATGCTGTACTGAAACCTCATTTTTTTTATACAACAGTATTAGTCTACTTTAATATGTATCTATTTTTTATCCATGATTTGTTGAGCCCATCCCCTATTGTTAGATTTTTATTATTTTATTTTTCTTAGATGGAGTCTTGCTCTTTTGCCTAGAGTGGAGTACAGTGGTGTAATCTTGGCTCACTGCAACCTCCACCCCCTGGGTTCAAGCAATTCTCCTGCCTCGGCCTCCTGAGGAGTGGGGATTACAGGCATCTGCCACCACGCCCGGCTAATTTTCGTATTTTTAGTAGAAACAGCCTTCCCCCATGTTGGCCAGGCTGGTCTCGGACTCCTGACCTCAGGTGATCCAACTGCCTCAGCCTCCCAAAGTGCTAGGATTACAGGTGTGAGCCACCGTGCCTGGCCTACTGTTAGATTTTTAGATTGTTTATTTTATAGATTTGACAAATGCATATTTTTGAATAAGTAATTCAAACAATGGAATTATAACTGAGTTCTTAAAATGAAAATCATCCAAGATATAAAAAGCATTATCGTTATTATTTTTGTTGCTTACCAGTATTGGTGCTATGATATGACAGACCAGCAGTCAAGACACTGTGACACACTAAGAGTTTCCCAAGTTATGTCGACTCATTTCTCAAGTGTGTTTTATAGTAAAAACAAGCAATACCCAAACTGAATCAGGATTATTTTATTTTCAGTCTAGTTTAGAAAAAGCAGTATTTCTTTATCTTTCATTTATTTATGTGGAGGGAGTAAAACTCCTTTTGGAAACCAACGATTGACACTTTATCCTCTTTGGGCACTTAAAATATTCTGATTGCACCTGTGTCTCAGTTACTGGCATGGAATCAGTCATATGCAGGGAAACTTTGACTGTTTTTGTTATTATTTTTAAGCTCCCCCTGTGCCAGAGAGAGAGAGAGACAGGAAGAAAGTACAATACACCGATATAACAGCGGTTCTCAACTCTTGGTGCACATTAAAAACATCTGGAAACTTTAACAAATACTCTTACTCAGGCTCCTTAGGAGAAGCTGATTTAATTGGTCAGAGGTGGAGTCTAGGCATCACCATTTTAAAGACGTTCCAGGTTTCCAGGTGATTTTAATGAACAAACAGTTTGAGGACCACTACTGTAGAGAAACCAGTTATATATATAGAGAGACACTAGAAATGACTTTTAATTTTCCCTCAGTAGTAAGAAAGAAGCAATTTCAGAACAAATAGAATAACATAATGTTTTGCTTTACAATCTAAGGAGTAAATCCATAGAATGCACCATTCAGAAAGGTGGTGCAGGGAGAAAACAGAATAGGTTCCATGGGGTACAGACAAAATGATGTGTTATAGATTGTTTGGAAGGAAGTTGGGGTTATTTAGAATGCATGTTTAGCCTTTGGGTTTGAAATCACGAAAACGATTACATTTTTCTCTTCCAAATGTCCTTTTGATTCAGAGTTACACACAATATCAAGCGGAGAGAATCACTAATTTTAGTCGTATGGAAACTTATAATATTGCGTATCCTTTGTGGTCTTATCACAGGATTCTTGAGTTGAAAAGAGCCTCTGGAGTAATGGAATTCATGCTTCTCTTATACTTTTTTCCCCCAACTTAAAAATTATGGAAAAATTTACATAACATAAAATGTGTCATCTTAACCATTTAAAATTCCATGTATGCTTTTGAATTCCTGCTATGACATCCACAGTAAATAGTATATATCTTTTGTTTACACTTCTAGTGACAGGGAAATCATTACCTCACATTTAAGGAACATCTCTAGTTGTTAGAAAATTCTTTCTCTATTCATAAAAATGTGATGTCTTATAATGTCCACCCCTTCTTTCTCTGTAGCTATCTGAAGAGAAAAAATATTTGTAGAGGTAATTGCTCCAAGTAAATCAAATAAAGGAATTAGCGATTCTTTTCTGTGTAGATGAAAAGTATAAACACAGTAAAATTACAAAACACTGTAAACTTTCTTGTGAAAACTTTCATGTGAAATGAGGTATTCTAATTAATCATATTTTAAGTTAATTCTAATTAATCATATTTTAAGTTAATCAGAGTATACAGTTGTCCGTTGGTATCTGAAAGGGATTGGTTTCGGAACCTCCCATGGACACCAAAATCCATGGATGCTCGAGGCCCTGATGTAAAATAGGCCTTGCATATTTGCATAAACCTCTGCACATTCTCCTGTATACTTTAAATCATCTCTAGATTACTTATAATATCTAATCCAATATAAATGCTTTGTAAATAGTTGTTATATTGTATCATTTAGGGAATAATGACAAGGAAAAAAGCCTGTACATGTTATAGTACAGATGCAACCATCCATTTTTTTTCGAAGTATTTTCCACCTGAGCTTGGTTGAATCATGGATGCAGAACCCATGGCTATGGAAGGCTGACTATAATTCAACTTAGTAAATCATGAGTGCCTCTGAGGTACAGAAATATAAAGAAATGTGAAACAAATAACGACAAATAAGTGAATTTTTAGTTGTTTGAACTATTTTCAAACTAGAGCAAGCTCTCTCAATCAGAGAACTAGCATTTATACTTGAATTTCTCAGATCAATATATTTACCAGTGCCTTAGGCAAAAATACAAAAAGCACATTTATCAAATGTACAGATAACATAAATCTGGGGATAGGATGAGAATGTGGGCAAATGCTGATTGCAGTGCTGTAATGTGCCTAAATGGAGCCTAAGATGAAAGGAAAAATGTGTGCTCCAAATTTTTGGTAAAATTTGGAAGATATTTTATGAAAATATCTTCCCATATTATAAACCAAATGGAAAACGAAAATCTTGACAATAAATGCCATGACTACATATAAAACTTCACTTTGTCCAGTATGTTTGCATGTCATTGCCAGCCCTCATAAACACACTGGGACAGGGGCAGGGAGCCTCGATGGCCCCTGGGAACTGTAGGTGGCTTGGAAACTATTCCCGCTGCACAATAGTGCTGGCTCATAAAGTAAACAAATGAACAAGAATAGTCTACTTTCGCTTAAAATTTTGATGTTTTATTTAACGTAGATTTTTGGCATTGATTTTGAGTTTTTAAAAGATTGCCTTCAAATATTAGTTGTCTTGATTCCTGAGAGCTTAAATTTTGTGCTTGAGGTGAGTGCCTTACTTGCCTCACCCTAATCCCAGCCCTGGGATATTACATTGAATAATGATTCATTTAAATATTAGTCAGCTACTATGAATGAAAGTAGACTAACAAGATGAAATTTCTTTGGGATAAAAGTAAATGTAAACATTTAGCAAACTGACTTAATACATTCGGGTTTGGGAATTTATGGTTTAGCATCAGTTCATGTGAAAAGGATTTAGGAGCTTCAGTTGACTGTAGGCTCACTGTGTGCTACCAGTGTCACATAGTTATTTAAACACTAATGAAATTTATTCTGCAAAGAATAAGAAATTACAAGGCAACTTTATTCTTCACTGATCACGCCATTGGAGAACTTGTAGGTTCTGATTTAAAGGCAGACTTTGACTAAGTAAGGCATGTTCCAGGGACTAACATGAGGGAATCTGGAAATTATGTCATATGAGGAATAGGAGGAAAGGGAAACATTAATTCTGGGAAGAGAAGCTTAAAAGAAGAGAAGAGGATATAGATGTGTAACCTCCATGACAGTTATAGTTCAAATAGAGGTTGAGTTATGTGGAGGAAAGTTGTGCTTTGGCTGAGAGGGTGAATTAGATAATTTCTAATTTTTTTTTTCCATTTTAATGATTCTATTACTCTGTGCCAAAAAATTATTTAGTGATCCACTTTGGAATGAACATCCTTTTATCTGCTTTGATCTTGGAGGTTCATTTACTGACCCACCTACCCATTCCTGCTCTCCTACTCAATTAAGATGGATTAAAACTAGAATAATTTCATTTGCAATGAAAGCTATTAGTCTGAGCAGATTGTCTCCATGATAATCTAATTGCATAGGTGCAAATGACTTTGCATAAATGAGCATTTGACAGACCGTTTCTTTTCTTTTTTTTCCCTGAGACAGAGTCTTGCTCTGTTGCCCAGGCTGGAGTACAGTGGTGCATTCTTGGCTCACTGCAACCTCTGCCTCCCGGGTTCAAACAATTCTCGTGCTTCAGCCTCCTGAATAGCTGGGATTATAGGCCTATGCCACCACGCCCAGCTAATTTTTCTATTTTTAGTAGAGATGGGGTTTTGTCATGTTGCGCAGGCTGGTCTCCAATTCCTGGCCTTAAGTGATCCATCTGCCTCAGCCTTTTCAAGTGTTGGGATTATAGGCATGAGCCACCGCGGCTGGCCTGACAGACCATTTCCTATCATTTTTTGTGCAGAGTATAAACAGTAGCATTTTAGATGAAACTTCAGTATTAGGTTTTTAACTTTGATTATATTCTTCTTAGCAAGGAAAGGGCAAGTTGTAATTTTACCTTCTAGAGAAATATAAGTAAGAAAGCACGGTCAGTAAAGTATCATTTATCTATTTAAAATAAGCATACTTCTTTATTTAGTTCAGTGACAAAATGATAGATGATATATATGTACATCAGGTACTGAGATAATAAAAAGCTCCAAGAAGCTGAAGTATTACATACTTAAGTAATGGTATTTCATGGGATTAAGCCCTTTCCAAAATTAACATCTCCTTTCATCTACATTTATTTCCAAGCTATCTCCTCTGATAGCTTACTGTATTTTTTTTTTTTTTTGAGACAAGGTCTTGCTCTGTTGTCCAGGTTGGAGTCCAATAGTGCAAATGACAGCTCTCTGCATCCTCAAGTTCCTAAGCTCAAGTAGTCCTCCCACTTCAGCCTTGGGAGTAGCTAGTACCTTAGGCGTGTGCCACCTTTTTTTGTTTTTGTTGTAGTTGTAGTGACAGGATCTTACCATGTTGCCCAGGCTGGTCTTAAACCTCTGGGCTCAAGTGATCCTCCTGCCTTGGCATCCCAAAGTGCTGGGATTACAGGCATGAGCTGCTGCACCCAGCCCTGTTTCTTATTATACCTAAATATTTAAAATAATTTACTTTTCTCATATTACATAAAGTAATTAAAGTATTTAATAAATCCTGAAAATTTCCCTTAGAAAGGCAAAAACCATTCATATTGAATAATGAAAACCTTAATTACTTATGAACACTATAACTCACTTATAAGTACTATTTTTAATGGAGCGCTGATCTTATGATTTATCATCCTTCAGGCTATTGCTAATGTTTATCTCTATGTAGAATTGCAAAACTGTGAAAGACCATAAAGAGCTGAGTGTAAACTCATTACCCCTGCTTCAAAAACCATTCATTTATTCAAAAGGTATTTGTGAGGTACCCACTTTGTGCTAGACACTGTGCTTGGTGATGGCCTGAATTGTGAACAAAGTGGACAAAGTTACTCTCATCATGAAGCTTGGGGGATAGATGATAAAAAGTTAACACATAAGTGAATAAATAATGGAATTCCAGGCATTGATAAGTGTTGTAAAAATAATGTAGGAAAGTGATAGGTCAAAGGTAATCTAATTTAGAGAAGTAGAAAGATCTTTAGACGAGGTCCCATTTCAGCAAAGACCTGAATTAGATGAGCTAAGGAAAAGTAAAAAGATCTGAGAGAGGGATGTGGTGGCCACATTCTGAGATGACACCAGTGGTCCTTGCCTCCTGGTATTTACATCCCTATGGAATTCCCTTCCACACTGCATCAGGATTAGTTTGTGTGACTGGCAGAATACAGTGGAAGTTGTGGTGTCCACATTCTGAGGTTAGGACATAAAGAACATTGCCATTTCCCCTTTGATCTCCTGGGACATTGTCTGGGGGAAGCGAGCTGCCAAATCATGAGGACACTCAAGCAATTCTATGGAGGTGATGGAACTGAGGCCTCCTGCCAACAGCCAGTACCAACTTGCCACCTGTGTGAGTGAGGCATCTTGGAGGCTCCCCAGTCAAGCCTTCAGATGATGGCTGCCCTGGGTGCATCTTTCTGCAACCTCATCAAAGATCCTAAGCCAGAGCACCCAGCTAATCCCCTCCCGAAATTCTGACCAAAGGGAACTTGGGGATAATAAAAGTTTATTTTTTAAATAATGAAGTTTTGGGATATGTTGTTATGCAGAAATACGTAACTAATAAAAGGAGAAATCTCAAGAGTAAAATATTTCAGAGAAGAACAAGCTTGGCATGTCTGAGGCATGACAAAAAAAGGCAGAGTGGCTGGATATTTGTTGGGAGGGTGAGAGTGGCTGGAGATTTCTATTCATGACCCGCTTTGTTAAATAATAGAGGATAACCAAAAGTTCATAAGTACTCAGCACATACTGTATGTTCACAGTTCTTTAATTTATCTTCTTGGCTTTTATAATTTATAGTAAATCGTGTATTTAAAAAAATCTTCATTAGAAATCTATGTACAGGATCGGATGAGGTGGCTCACGCCTGTAATCCTAGCACCTTGGGAGGCCAAGGCAGGCAGATCACTTGAGGTCAGGAGTTCAAGACCAGCTTGGCCAACATAGTGAAACCTTGTCTCTACTAAAAATTAAAAAATTAGCTGAGCAAGGTGGCGGGTGCCTGTAATCCCATCTATTGGGAAGGCTGAAGCAGAAGAAATGCTTGAACCCAGGAGGCGGAGATTGCAGTGAGCCAAGATTGTGCCACTGCGCTCCAGCCTGCGTGACAGAGTGAGACTCCGTCTCAAAAAAAGAAACCTATGTACAATGTAAAATATTGTATTTTAGCTGTGGTCAGGTTACTGAACTTTTCAGCAGACACGTAATACATTTTTTCTAAAACAGGATGCTTTGGATAGATTAGCCATCCTAAAGCATGACAAAGCAACTTAAATCCTCCAAGGATTAATATTATATTGAGTGAAAAATAGATATTTAAAAGAAGGCCATGTAGTAATATTTGGTTACCACTAATGATCAGACACAGATGGAGTCTTTGAGGATAAAATAAAAACACAGCAAATGATTTTTTTTTTTTTTTTTGAGATGGAGTTTCGTTCTTGTTGCCCAGGCTGGAGTGCAATGGCACGGTCTCGGCTCACCACAACCTCCGCCTCCCTGGTTCAAGCAATTCTCCTGCCTCAGCCTCCCGAGTAGCTGGGATTACAGGCACACACCACCATGGCTTGTATTTTTAGTAGAGATGGGGTTTCTCCATGTTGGCCAGGCTGGTCTCGAACTCCTGACCTCAGGTGATCTGCCCGCCTCAGCCTCCCAAAGTGCTGGGATTTATAGGTGTGAGCCACTGTGCCTGGCCTGATTTTTTATGAAAAAGGGAATCTTTGTGCTTTTTGATTCATAATTAAGCCAAATTTTCTTGTAGAAAATAGGTCATTGTTAAAATAGAGTTTTGGATCAAGCCAATGTCTGTGGGAGATAAGAATAATTAGAAAATTAATTTTCATATATTAGGGTTTTGTTTATATCTAATAATCCATCATTTATTACCCAGGGAGTAAAAACAACTCCTCAAAGCAGTATTTTTCCGGCTTTTCTTACATCTCTATGGGAACACTAATCCTGCTTTAAATGTTTCACAAAGAATCTTGGGCGTTTCCTCTAGAAGTTGTTGCTCAGGTTCTCCATGAATTAGCCCTTTGATTACCACCAGTTCCATTTTCCTACTCTGGCTCAGATGGAGATCCTCTTGTGAACCCAGTAAGCAGCTCTTTGCTGATGCTTGCTGATTGCTCCGCTGGTGATATTACTGATGATCCATGAAGCTTATTCCAAGGAATACAATGTTCAGAATTGAGACTGCTGATGTTTGCTCCAGGATTAATGAATAATATCAAATATCCTTGTTAAGATGCCACCTCTTCTGTTGAGAGCCACCAATGTCTCCACCAAGTTTGCTATCCGATGTCAAGAATCCTATGTTTGTACAGAAGGCGTTATCTCTTGTTGCTGTTGCAGTCCCAGCATCCAATGTAGCTAGAACCTTTTATTACTGATGTCTAGATGGAAATTTAGTGAAAAGTGTCTTTTGAGCATTTCTAGATTTGTAATTACAATTACCTCAATCTAGTAGTCAGTCATAGGTCCATGGAAAGCTGGCCTGGATGATAATTTGAGTGATCAACTCATCAACACTCAGAATCATTGTCTCTAAGCAAAATATTGTGCCTTGAGTCTCTTTTGTCTTATGAACAATTTTTTTGGAGGTGTCTCCAAAACCTCATATAAACAGACTCGTTGCTAATCTATCTTGCAGCTTTCTTTTATTCCTTATGTTGATAACAGGTAGTCAGACATCTTCAGCAAGATTGATCCCCCTTCTTTTGTACTTTTCTCATGTACTTCATTACCAAATCCTATGTGCATTCTCCCAAAAAATTTCTTTTCTATACAGCCCTGCTTTTCCAATTCTACTGCACTGCCTAGTTTAGGACTTCATCATATTCACAGACACCGGCAGTTTCAAAGTGTGGTCTGCAGATCTCATGGTGCCCAAAACACTTACAGGGAGTACCAAACCTATTTTTACAATAATATGAAAAAAAATGTCTTTTTCACTCTGTTGACATTTGTACTAATGATGCAAAGCAATGGTGCATAAAAATGCTGATCCTGAGCGCAAATTAAGAGAATGCTACCAAACTGTATGTGAGCAGCTATTTGATTTGATTTGATTTTTTTTGAGACGGAGTCTCACTCACTCTGTCGCCCAGGCTGGAGTGCAGTGGTGCCCTCTTGGCTCACTGCAACCCCCTCTTGGGTTCAAGCAATTCTCATGCCTCAGCTTCTCCAGTAGCTGGGATTACAGATGTGCACTATCATGCCCAACTAATTTTTGTATTTTTAGTAGAGGTGGAGTGTCACCATGTTGGCCAGGCTGGTCTCCAACTCCTGACCTCAAGTGATCTGCCCGCCTCAGCCTCCCAAAGTGCTGGGATTACAGGCATGAGCCACCGCACCCAGCCCAATTTTATTCTTCATTGCCACACACTTACAGTAAAGAAAATGAGTTTCACTTAAGAATGGCTTTGATGGAGCAGTACAAATTATTTATTTTACTAAATCGCTAATTTTACTAATCTTACTAAAATTATTAATTTTATTGAATCCTGTGAGTACACATTTTTTGGTCTCATTTTTTAATTTTAAGTTCCTCAAATGATTTCAACACTTATATCCAAATGAGAGCCCCTGGTTTCCTGTATTTTTTTTTTAAAGGGAGCAATAACACAAAAATAAAAACTGTGATGTTTAATCATAATTTTATATGATTCATTATAATTTGTATGATTAAAATTCAGTTGCAGTTAAAATTAAGTTAAGATCTTAGATTTCCCCAAAGTATCATGAAAATTAATATATTGGTAAAAAATAAAACACTGGAAAATAGATGGTGGTATGTATGGGTATTTATAAATATATATATGTATTTTTTATTTTATTTTTCACCTTTAATCTCTTTTACTGGGCAAAGATAAATTATGAGTGGTATTTTCTAGTATGTGTTAATTTGTTCTCCAGGATTGAAAAGCATCATTTTATACTTTTATTTTACTCCCCCTTTTTTTTTGAGATGGAGTCTCACTCTGTTGTCCAGGCTCGAGTGCAGAGGCATGATTGGCTCACTGCAACCTCCACCTCCCAGGTTCAAATAATTCTCATGCCTCAGCCTCCCAAGTAGCTGGCATGTGCCACCACACCTGTCTAAATTTTGTATTTTTTAGTAGAGGTGGGGTTTTGCCATGTTAGCCAGGCTGGTCTTGAACTCCTGGCCTCAGGTGATCTGCCTGTCTCAGCCTCCCAAAGTGCTGGGATCACAGGCACGAGCCACTGCACCCGGCCCATTTTACACATATTTTTAATATTCTATGTGACAAAATAGGAAATATGCATACCTTTTGCTGCGAACCAAAATATGATGGTTGTATTGACAAAAAGTGCTGTGTGATTGATTTGTGAGCTGAACTGCTTCTCCATGAACCATTTTTACTTGAAAAATGCTGATAGACCAACTATGGTTGTTCAAATTTGATTATTTGGTGGACATTTTCTCAAAAAGTGAACAAAGCAAGCCTGTTACTTTAAAAAACACAACTGACAGTATTTGCTGCCAATGATAAATTCTGAGCTTTCAAATTTTAGGAATTTTGGAAATTTGTATGTGGCACTGTGAGCTTGACAGCCTCTTAATACTTACAGATTTTTCTGGTAAAGTCAGTGGTAATATTAACAAAAGTGTGGCAGAGTCAGGATCCACACCCAGGCATTCCAACTCTAGAGTCTGTGCTCTTAGAGAGTTTACGGTTCTTCCTTCCCAGGCTTTTCTACAGAACAAATGAGGTCCAAGCCCCTCAGCATGGCACTGACAGTCTTTGCATACAAAAATTTTTCCTTTCATGCTTAGCTGGTTTCCTTATTGAGCCTCCCGTTCTCCCCAAGTTTAATTGTTGTGTGCTATTCCCAGAAAAAGGAAGTTGACTCTCAGAAACTAGAACGTGAATGTCTTACTACTGTGAAACATAGGCAGCATTAGATGAGGAGTAGGAAAGCTGACTGAGGGATAAGAAGAAGGAATGAATGGGTGATGCTGATTAGCAGAAAAATCTCTGGGGAACTTGGTGAGCACCTGGGAATGCAAATGTGTCTGTATATTTAAGTCATATTAGGTAGAAGGTAAGCTGCTGGTTTTGGCAGTCTACAAGAATGAAAGGAAATAGTGAGTCCTGGATTTAGGTAGATAGAGATTGATTTGACAGACGATCCTGAAAGCAGGCAGACAATTTGGATGGCAGGAATCAGAACCCTGACTGGTCAATGCTGTAGTTTGGATATAGTTTGTTTGTCCCCACCAAATCTCATGTTGTGATCCCACCCCCAGTGCTGGAGGTGGGGCCTAATGGAAGGTGTTTTGGTCATGGGGGGCGGATCCCTCATGAATAGATTAGTGTCCTTCCTGGGGGTGAGTTCTCGCTCTATCAGAGATATTTTGTGTAAATACAATCCAAATGCATTCATAATTTCCCCCATCCTAGTTTTTTAAAACTGAAATATTTTACATATTGGTTTTGTATCTTAATTTTTTCTTTTAATATTATGCTTTTGAAATATTTCCATATCAGTGCATGAAGAACCCCCTTATTAGTTTTCATGGCTGCATAATTTTACAATATATAGGCATTCCTCACCATGCCCAATTGGTCCTAACAATTTTTTTTTTTTGTTTTTTTGAGAGGGAGTCTCACTCTGTCACCCAGGCTGGAGTGCAGTGGCGTGATCTCCGCTCACTGCAAGTTCCGCCTCCAGGGTTCATGCCATTATCCTGCCTCAGCCTCCCGAGTAGCTGGGACTACAGGCACCTGCCACCACGCCCACCAAATTTTTTGTATTTTTAGTAGAGATGGGGTTTCACCGTTTTAGCCAGGATGGTCTCGATCTGCTGACCTCGTGATCCACCCGCCTCGGCCTCCCAAAGTGCTGGGATTACAGGTGTGAACCACCGCGCCCAGCTGGTCCTAAACATTTTTTTAAACCTAGCTGTCAATGATAGTACTATGGACAAGATGGCCAATTGGGCTTTCCTATTGCTGGATAATTAGTCTGAAACTAGACTTTTTGTTTGGTGGCAATTTTTTGCCTCCCTTAATTTCTCAGTGATTGCACTTTATACAACAGGGGCTCCATCACAGGTTTATGCACACAATTAATAGTATTAATACTCTTCATGGCTGGGCACAGTGGCTCATGCCTATAATCCCAGCACTTTGGGAGGCTGAGGTGGATGGATCACTTGAGGTCAGGAGTTCGAGGCCATCCTGGCCAACATGGTGAAACCCCATCTCTAGCAAAAAATAAAAAAATTAGCCAGTTGTGGTGGTGTATGCTTGTAGTTCTAGCTGCTCAGGAGGCTGAGGTGGGAGAATCGTTTGAACCTGGGAAGTGGAGGCTGCAGTAAGTTGAGATCACGCCACTGCACTCCAGCCTGGGTGACAGAGTGAGACCCTGTCTCAAAAAAAAAATACTATTAATAATCACCCTGTTTATTATCTGACTTATTTTACATTGTTCATAACACAACCTTTTTGCTTTTTTATTCCAGGTGCTGAACGTGTCCTCCAAGGGTTTCAAGGTTATCGTATGCCCTGAAATTGGGCAAGGAGCTTTAAGAGGGAACTTTGAGTTTGCCAGAGAAAACTCAAGATGTTTCTACATGAAGAAAATGGTTTCAGACATTTGACTTCTTTAATTTTTGCATACTCTTTGTGATGGTTGTTAGCAAAGACCTAGAGTGGTTGTATGGCTATTTGCAAAGGCTGAGTGTGACTTGATATTGGCTCAACTTGAAAACTTTGATATTTGATGTTTGTATTCAAAATTGGAAACAAAGGTGTTTAAAAGGATGATATATGATTATGGGGTGGCATATAAGACTTTGCAGAACTTACCTGCACACTTATATATTTTCTGCCAAAATAGTTGTTTGTTTTGATGTTAACCTGTGCTTGTCATGTTTATCTCCATACCTTCTTTGGTTTAAAGTTTATTCTAATTAAAACCCTAATTAGTAATATTTGTATTTACTGGTAGCTTAGCTGTCTGAGTGTAATCTCATTTTGTTTGTTAATTGGTTTGCATTATTAGCTCATTTTAAATTGCCAAGAAAAATCCTGAAGACAAGTGAACATAATTAAATTGGAGCATGGGTCACTTCTTACTGCCTCTTTTTCCAGTGAGCAGAGAATTTCTATAAACAAAAACAAGGTCTACTTTAAAGAGAAATAAATAAGGTTTGTATTTTAAGTAAGGATAAATCCTATTGTATTTAAGATGATAGTTGTGAGATTTGATTGTTGTGAAATTTGATTGTTATGAAATATGAGAAGGTAAAACTGAGACTTATTTGAAGATTCATGCAATAATTTTCTTATTTGAGCAACATTTAAGACTTCATAGGGGGCGCCTTTTGGTAAAGAAGCAGAAACTTTGGAGTTAGATAGACCTGGGTTGGGGCTTGGATTTGACATTTACTGTCTGTGAGATCTTGGTTAAGTTACAGGCTGAGTATCCCTTATCCAAAATGCTTGTGACCACAAGCGTTTTGGACGTCAGATTTTTTCAGTTTGGAATATTTGCATATACATTATGAGCTATCTCAGGGATGGAACCCAAATCTGATCACAAAATTTATTTATATTTCCTATATATCTTATACACATGGTCTGCAGGTAATTTTAGATAATATTTTAAAATAATTTTGTGCATGAAACAGAGTTTTGACTGTAACCTGTCACATGAGGCCAAGTGTGAAATTTTCCACTTGTGACATAATGCCAGTGCTCAAAAGATTTCAAATTTTGGAGAATTTCAGATTTGAAATTTTTGGATTAGGGATGCTCAACCAGTATTACTCTTTCTAAGCCTCAGTTTTCTCATCTTTAAAATGGATATAATAGCAGCTGTTTAATAGTACGTTGTTAGAATTAAATGAAATAGTGTATGTCAGGTAGCTCACACACCTTAGGCACTTAAAGAACACAGTTTAGTTTTCCTTCTAGTCTTTAGATGATTCAGGGAGCATAATTAGAAGTTATAAACAACAACAAAACTCCACCTGTGAAATCTTTCTCTCTGTACGTCACTTAGGTAAACATAGCCAGATTTTCTGCAGAGAAGCATAAACAGTCTTTATTGTCAGTTTGATTGTCGACTTATCATAAAACAAACACAATAGTCTGAATTTAAGAAATAGGGGCTTTAAATAGGCGGTGAGTAAATAGGCTGTGAGCAAGAAAGTTTTGACTATCACTATACAAAAAACACTTGATGTGCAGATTTGCCTAACACATTTTTTAAAAATTATAGAAATGTAATTCTGTATTTTCACAACTAAATTAATCTTTTCCCCTTCTGGTTAATTGGGGAATTATTTTTTACCTAGAATAATAAAACATATGATATGATCAAGTTCAATAATTTACTCTTCAAATTGATGAAACAGTTCTTCAAATAGTCTCACATAATTACACTGCACATTTGAAAAGTATTCATTTCTTATAATATATTTAAATCAATGGTTAAAAATGAGCACACAGACAGAATATGCCAACAAATTTTGCTTTCCAGGGTGGCGGTGGAGAAGAGATGGGAGGTAGGAGGGAGAAGGGGAATTGAGAGGTAGCTAAATCCCTAGATCAATGAAAGTAATTAAACAATCTTGAAAAATTTGATAAATAATTAGTGCTAACAAACTCAATAGAAATCAAAACTAGTTAATACACTTAAAGACGAAAAGAATCTCACAGACAAATAAAAGATAGAGAATGGCCATTTATTTATTCAACAAATATTTATTTAGTGACTATGATGTAAAAAATAGAGCTATAAACTAAAGAATATGTGGGCTAATTGAAAAAAATGTATTTATGGTAGAAAGAATTGAAGTCAAATATTTTATTCAGTTTACAAATGAAAGCCTCATAGATGTAGCTAAAATTACCATCCTAATTATTGTAAAAGTTACTACTTTTGAAATGAAAAAATATAAAAACATGACAACTTTTCCCCTCTCATTCAACTCCATTTTTCATAGTACCTTTTGTGCCTATCCTTTCCAATCTTTTCCTAATTTTATACAGACCCAGTGAAAGATACATTACACACACATATATACATGTACATTCTCGTTACCAATTTTCTGTATTCGTTCTTACACTGTTATAAAGAACTACTTGAGACTGGGTAATTTAGAAAGAAAAGAAGTTTAATTGACTCACAGTTCCACAGGCTGTACAGGAGACTGTGGAGGCCTCAGGAAACTTATACAATCATGGCGGAAGGTGAAGGGGAAGCAAGCATGCCTTCAAATGGTGGCAAGGGAGAGAGAGAGAAAGAGAGAGAGAGAGAGAGAGAGAGAGAGAGAGAGAGAGAGAGAGAGAAAGGGGAGGTGCTACACGGTTTCAAACAACCAGATCTCATGAGAACTCTATCAAAGGACAGCACTAGGGGGATGGTCCTAAACCATCAGAAACCACCTCCATAATCCAATCACCTCCCACCAGGCCCCACCTCCAACACTGAGGATCACAATTCAACATGAGATTTGGGTGGGGACACAGAGCCAAAGCATATCATATACCTTACTTCACAAAAATTAAATCATGCTATAATATTCTATAATAATAGCTTTGTAATTAATGTTATTATATTCATGGGCTAGTGTCCTAGGAAAAAATGCTAGGTTATAGGGAATGCACATTTTATAATTTCATGGACAAATTACCTTCCCATAGGTTATATTAATTTAGATGAGGAGACTTCCAGGTTGCCAAATACTCCTGCTAGCATTGGATACTACCTTCTTAAATCTCCCCATTCCCGTTGGCAAAAATTATAAAGGTTTAAACTTTTTAGGTAGCCAAATCTGTTAGATTTTTCTTTACTAATTCTAGGTTTCCAATTTTACTTAGCCTTCCCCTCACCCTGCATCAAACAGTTGTAAAGTATTGTCCTATCTGTACCTATTAATATTTTAAAAGATATATTGCTTACACTGAGCCTTAATATTTTGTTTCATATATGTTGAGAGATTATGAATTCACTTAAATGACTTCTGAATTCATAACTAGTTGTCCTAATACCTGACAGAGCAGGAGCATCTCCATCTTGGACAAGCCTCTCATTCTAAAGTTCACCTTAATAAAAAAATCGCCTAAATCCAAAGGGCACCAGCCTAATGGCTAAGGTCAGTACGACCATAAACCACAAATAACATCTTCAACCAGAAACATTCCAAACTCCTCCCCGACCAGAGACATGCTAGCCTCGAGATAACCCACCTCCGGCCGGGAAGATGCCAGCCCCGAGATAACCCCTCTCCAAGCCAGAAAGATGTTTGCCCCAAGATAACCTCCCTTCCTCCCAGAGACATTCCAACCCCGCGATAAAACTTCTCCCTCACATAGAAACATTCCAACCTTGTAATAAGCCCCCTCACCCTAAAACCAATAGATACTCTTGGTCTGTAAGAGAAAGCGCTCCTGATTGAAACTGGCCAGAAGCCCCTCTCATTTTTTATTTAAAGTAAACCTGTCTTTAACTGCCAGCTGCATTTTGTGTTTCTTTCCTCTTTAACTCTTACAATACTATTTATTGAACCATACATGGTCCTTTTTGATGTAAGAGTTAAAAAGAAATTGTTTAGGCAGATAGGGTAAGGAAGTCCTCGGTAAGGTTTTCCTTTTAATGAAAAGCAGCCCCCAATCATTTCTTTTCTAACAAAGAGCAGCCTTTAAAATCAAGCTGCAGACATAGATAAGCAAGCTGGAAGCTTGCACGGGGGAATGCCAGTAGCTGTGCCAACAGGAAAAGGCTACCTGGGGGCTAGGCATGTTCAACCTGGTGGCTCCATCTTTTCTTTTCTTTGTCAACCACAGGTACAATAAGGAGCAGGCAACCTGGCGCCTGCCAGATAGAGATTCCATCTGCATAATAAGAGTAGGGTGGGATGGTCAGCTTCTTCCTGCGCTATGTAAATGGCACACCTAGTCTAGCCAATCTCTGGGCCCTATGTAAATCAGACACCGCCTCCTCAAGCTCCTCTATGAAACCCCATGCATTTCACCACTGAACAGGAAGATCCACTGAAGGCCCCCTCTCTTCCTGTAGGAGAGAGAGCTATTCTCTTTTTGCTTTCTGTTGCTTATTAAACCTCCGCTCTTTCTTTTTTTCTTTTTTTTCCTTTTTTTCTTTTTTGAGACAGAGTCTCACTCTGTAGCCCAAGCTGGAGTGCAGTGGTGCGATCTTGGCTCACTGCAACCTCCGCCTTCTGGGCTCAAGCGATTCTCGTGCCTCAGCCTCCAAGTAGCTGGGACTACACGCTACATTTTAGTTTTGTTCCCTCACTTGGCATTTGTGTCCTTTTTTCTCTCAGTCTCCTCCCTCATCTCTCCCTTTACCTCATTTTCAGGGTGTATGTGTCTGTGTACACTCATACACAGTGCCTGTATCTCGTGGTAATAGGGTGGGGTGCCTGTGTCTTTGTCTTTCTGTAACTTTCTGAATGTTTATATCTTTTTCTGTTACTGACTCTAATTTTCTCCATTTTTCTCTTTCTCTCCTTCTGTCTCTTTCCAGATAAATGCTACCTGAAGTTACTTGTTGTCTGTCACAGCCACATCCAAAGGACAAACCAAGTAACTAAGTATTCCACAACACAGTCACTGAAACATAAACCCAACCACTGCATTCATAACTCTGTAGGCAGCCCTGCTCTTGACCACATAGATCCTTTATGCTTTTATCATCAAAACTTTAGAGAACAACTTCAACTACGGTTTTGAAAAAGTGTTAATGCATTGATTATTAATAGAGATTTGGGGCAAAAAACACTTACCTCTTCATCATTTTTGCCTCCTTCTTACTGGAAATAGAATTGGGACCAGCATTTAACAACAGGTAGAAAAAGTGAATAGTCCTGGGTCAGACTTTCCAGATATCATTCAGACAATCTTGAAGAGATTTGGGAAGTCTCAATACCTCACATTTTTTAGAGTTTTGACAGAGCAGAGACCTATTTTTCAGTGTGAAATCAAGGCCGAATAGCCTGGAAAAGGAGATGATGGTAGAACTTGCATTTCATCTTCCTTCTTTGTGGAAAGGATGAAAAACTATCAGTGATATTTCCAGTCTCAGTTGCAGGGAGGGGTCTGGACATGAATCAGGTCCTGCTGATGAGAAGTCCTTGAACAGAGTGGGGAGGCAGAAGAAGAGGGGGCTGTCTTCCTGACAGGCGTGCTCTGGCTGCAGGTTGACATGGCTGGCCTCAGCCTTTCCCTTTCTAGGCTCCAGCTTTGTGGGTGTGAGGCTTTCAGGGATGTGGCTGCAGCAGTGGGAGCAGAAGCTCCAAAACTCTGAATACCAGCTAACTGGTGTGACTTTGATACAGTAGTGGCTGCCTGACTTAGTTTGTTCCATATGCTTGGGATAGGCCTGCTTTCTACCCATTGCACCAGTCCTCTTCACTCTCAAACCTGCTCTTAGTGGCCCTGCTCTGTCGCCTGCCACCGCTGCTGGGGCCTGAGTGGTTCACTGCATCGTGAAGACAGATTCCAGACGCTGGGAACAAGCGCCTCCAATCCCAGACGCTATGTCCAGAAAAGGCTCTGTGGTTCTGGCCTACAGTGGTGGCCTGGACACCTCCTGCATCCTCCTGTAGCTGAAGGAACAAGGCTATGATGTCATTGCCTACCTGGCCAACATTAGCCAGAAGGAAGATTTCAAGGAAACCAGGAAGAAGCATTGAAGCTTGGGGCCAAAAAGGTGTTCATTGAGGATGTCAGCAGGGAGTTTGTGGAGGAGTTCATCTGGCCAGCCATCCAGTTCAGCGCACTGCATGAGGACCGCTACCTCCTGGGCACTTCTCTCACCAGGCCCTGCATCGCCTGCAAACAAGTGGAAATTGCCCACCGGGAGGGGGCCAAGTATGTGTCCCATGGCGTCACGGGAAAGGGGAGCGATCAGGTCCAGTTTGAGCTCAACTGCTACTCGCTGGCTCCCCAGATAAAGGTCATTGCTCCCTGGAGCATGCCTGAGTTCTACAACCGGTTCAAGGGCCACAACGACCTGATGGAATACGCAAAGCACCACGGGATTCCCATCCTGGTCACTCCCAAGAACCTGTGGAGCATGAACAAGAACCTCATGCACATCAGCTACGAGGCTGGAATCCTGGAGAATCCCAAGAACCAAGCGCCTCCAGGTCTCTACGCGAAGACCCAGGACCCGGCCCCCAACACCCCTGACATTCTCGAGATTGAGTTAAAAAAGGGGTCCCCGTGAAGGTGACTGACATCAAGGATGGCTCCACCTACCAGACCTCCTTGGAGCTCTTCATGTACCTGAACGAAGTCGCGGGCAAACACGGCGTGGGCCGTACTGACATCGTGGAGAACCGCTTTATTGGAATGAAGTCTCGAGGTATCTAGGAGGCCCCGGCAGGCACCATCCTTTACCACGCTCATTTAGACATCAAGGCCTTCACCATGGACTGGGAAGTGCACAAAATCAAACAAGGCCTGGGCTTGAAATTTGCTGAGCTGGTATATACCGGTTTCTGGCACAGCACTGAGTGTGAATTTGCCTGCCACTGCTTCGCCAAGTCCCAGGAGCCAGTGGAAGGGAAAGTGCAGGTGTCTGTCTTCAAGGGCCAGGTGTACATCCTCGGCCGGTAGTCCCCACTGTCTCTCTACAATGAAAAGCTGGTGAGCGTGAACATGCAGGGTGATTATGAGCCAATTGATGCTACTGGTTTCATCAACATCAGTTCCCTCAGGCTGAAGGAATATCATCATCTCCAGAGCAAGGTCACTGCCAAATAGACCCCTGTGCAATGAGGAGCTGGGGCCTCCTCAATATGCAGAGCCCCCAAGTACAGGTGCTAATTGTTGTGACAATTTGTAATTGTGACTTGTTCTCCCCGGCTGGCAGCGTAGTGGGGCTGCCAGGCCCCAGCTTTGTTTCCTGGTCCCCTTGAAGCCTGCAAACGTCATCGTTGAAGGGAAGGGTGTGGGTCAGCTGCAGTGGGGAGCTATAAAATGACAATTAAAAGATAACAACTCCCCCCCGCAAAAAATGCTTAATTTGGACAGTAAACTTAGTAACCCTATCTCTAATTCTTCCAACGTAAGTACCTAATTACCGGCATTTAAATTCTTTCTGTTTGAAACACCTAGAGTAGTTACTGTTTCCTTTATTGAATGCCAGCTGATGTCAAAGGCAGACAAAACCAGATGGTGGTTAAAGGTGATAAAGACAGATTTTGTTCAGTACTCTTGTAATAGGGGAGAATAGCCAATGTAACCTGAGCTCAACTCTGCTGCAACAAAAGGTGGGGCACTTTTTAAATACTGGGGTGTGCTGAAGAAAAGACACTGATGAGTGTTAAGGGGCATATGGTCTGTGTCACTAGGTTATCTAGGTTTGCTACTTGGTGCTTATCTGGAGGAGAAACAAACTTCTTACATCTTTATGACAGGGGAAGTTGTGCAAGCTGGGGCAAGGGGCTGCAGATGTTATGCCCTTACCTTCACACTGAGAGGAAGAGTTATCTTCCTAATGTTTGCATTTCAGAGAGATGGCTCCCAGGTCCTTGAGGAGACAGTTTTGCGTGATAGAAGATTTATATCTCAAGGGCAGAGAAAGGATTTATAATTGCAAGCTTTCGCAGGCAGACATTTTAAGAGGGAGCTGAGGTCATCTTAGGGACGAAATCTTAATCTGCTAGAAGTCATACTAGGGTTTGGTCAAGAACAGAGTCTGTCATGAATGTACCTGAGATCATGAGATTTTGCTTGAATTACTTTGGGAATATACCATACCTCACAAGGCATGGTATATAGAACTTGATTTCAGCAGTCATCTTTTTTGAAAATGACTACCAGAGAATCAGTGTGACCCAATTTCCAAGACCAAGAGGCACCTGGAGTGAGAAGCTTTGGTGTACATATTTACAAATATAAAACAGTCTTTTCTTTTTGTGTTGCTAGGAATAGCCTTTTCTATTTGTAATAAAAACAGCTGTTCTTTTTCTACTGGGTTTTGAAAAGATATTTACTTCAATCTTTTTTTTTTTGAGACAGAGTCTTGCTGGACTCTGGAGCGCAGTGGTACCATCTCGGCTTACTGCAACCTCTGCCTCCCTGGTTCAAGCGATTCTCTTACTTTAGCCTCCTGAGTAGCTGGGATTACAGGCACGTGCCACCATACCTGGCTGATTTTTGTATTTTTAGTAGCGATGGGGTTTCACCATGTTGGCCAGGCTGATCTTGAACTCCTGGCCTCAAGTGATCCACCTGCTTTGGCCTCCCAAAATGTTGGGATTACAGGCATGAGCCACTGTGCTGGCCTACTTTAATCTTTATCACCTCAATTTCTACTCATCCACATCCATTCCAACCAAGTAGAGAAGCAGCCAAGAATGATTAAAATATTATAGCTTGTGAATATAATGCAGACTGTGCAGGATCTTGTTTGTGACCTGAAGATTGAAAAGGGACCTAAGGCACTGCTGACCCTGGGACTAAGCCTCCACATTAAGCTTCCTGGCATTCTTTCTGAGTTTGGCCTGCTGGAGCTGGCCGATCCTGTGTGCATTTCTGATCAACCATCAATATTTCAAGGCCAAGAATTTGGAGATAGAGGTGAGGTTTATTCCAAATCTCTAAACCATTTCCACTTAATACTCATTATTGTAGAAGGAAAAATTTATTTGTTCTCTGAAAGAGGCACAAAGCACATTTGATTATACCACTTTTCCTGACACTTATTTTACTAGTAGATCTGTTTTTAAAAATAGAAAGCAAATTATTATGCCTGAGTGACTTCAAAGCATTCCCATCATTCCAATTAGCAACCATGTTGCTCCCATGGAGGAGAGAGAGGGGCTGAGGGTATGTGGGAGTGAAAAAGAGACAGGTAGGAGGAGAGAAAGCGTCAAAGAAATGACAAGGAAGGGCAAGTTGCCAGGAGCTCAGTGGTTTGAAATTCTAGCCGGGATGCGTTCCTTATTGTAGTTCCTCAACTAAATGAAAGCTTGCTTGTCTTGGAAAGAAAATTCAGAAGATTACATTCTTGAGGTACGAAGTAAAAGATCAGACACACTCCAAGGTGATTGGACTAGAATCTACAGAAAATATTTTCATAAAACATTTTCCACAATCAGTCCCTTTGTAAAAACATGATTTGGAGAGAGTGCTATAAACAAATAAAAAACACAAACATTTCAATATTACTTTCTTCTTTAGTTTGTGTTATTTTAAGGAGGGTGGAGAATGAAATAATGTCTTCAGAAACATATTAAACAAGTCAGTTCAAGACAATCTCTGGTGAGAACTAAATTATTTACTACCTTAATTTTCATAAGCTTTCTCACCATGAGTTTCATCTTCATGTATTATGTTTTTGTTGGACGAAAAAATTCAAGTATTTTGTTTTTCTTTATGCACACTTGATTTCTGAATTCTTTGTTTCTCCATGTAAGAGAGTAAAATGATCCCCAAACTAAGCCATTCTGCTAAGAACTTGGAATGCCTTGTTTTGACTTCCTGTACTGAACTCTGTTTTAGTGTTCAGACTAATTTCCTTTGAAGAATGCTCCTCAGGCCTCAGTACTTTTCCTGAGTTTCTGATGTGTCAAACTTATTTTCTCACTTGACCTTAAGGAATATCTAGGCTTATTGCTAAGAATTACAGATAACCCAGGAATTTGCAAATACTATAAATCATGTATACAAAATGAATCATACTTACTCTGTAGAACTGCATGGCTTATCACCTAATGCATTTTAAAGCATTGCTATGTTTTCTTCTTTTCTTCCTTTCTCTCTCTGCTTTCCTTCTTTCACTCATATACATAACAGTTACTATCAGCCAGACTGATAGTAGCTGGAGACAATGAAAGGCAAAGCAGCATTGAAATATCACTAGTAAATCTGTAAGCTTTATCAGAAAAAACAAAGGGTGGAGTCCATAGACATACCTAGTTACTGAAAATCAAATATCATAAGGAAAATGTCAGTGGACATATAGCCCCAGAAACTGTGCTGAAAACAGCCATCATTTGAAAATAGAGAATATGTCTTTTATAAGATCTTCCTAGCATAAGAGGTACGTTTGTGAATATCATGACTGGAACACATTTTCAGCTAAGTAAAAGGTGACGCTTCTTTCTTCCTCCCCTTCTCTCTCCACTAACCCCACTAACTTAATAGTTAACCCCATTAACTCCCTTAAATTTGCCCATTACCACTGACTTTGAAGGAAGGTTTTGTCTTAGTTATGATCCCTCAAAAGCAGAACCAGAAAGCAGTACTTGGAGGTGGGTAGTTTATCTGGGAGGATTCCAGGATGCACAAAGGAAGGAGCTAAGAAAGTGAGTGAAGACAGGGAGTGTGGACCTAGAACAAACAAAAAGGTCAAAATCTAGTTCAAAGAGCGTGTATTCAAGCCTAAAGTTTGAGAAGGGCCACCCAGGAGCATAGATTCAAGTTGCCCAGGATATACATTTTGGTTAGCAGCCTTTACAAGTGGGTTTTTAAGGAAAAAGAAGAGGCAGTTCCTAAGTTGTTTACCAAGATTTACATTAAGATTACTAAAGCTAGTGGTTGGCTGTACATTGTTCTTTGTATCACATATTCCAGGAATTGGAAGACTGTGGGTGAGACCCCTAGTCACGAAAAAAATGCTTTTAAACAATTGCCTCCAGGCATGGGTTCAGGCGCTGGACAGAACCATGTTTCTTAGTGCCTGGTAAATTTTGTATACCCCAGGTAGCTCAGACAGCTCTGAGCTATTTTTCTTTTCTCAGGAGAAAAGCCACTTGAGGGTGCATTCATAGAGGTGGATTACCTGTGTAGGAAATAGGGTTCTGTCTAGCTGGGGACACACTCAGGAACTTAGACTTGTTCTGCTGAGGGGCAAGGAAATTGTGGTATTTATCTACCTACTCCCTCTCCTCATTGGTTGAGGGTTGCTCTTTGTGTGGAATTCCTAGCACTTCCAGATTGCTGACAAGTATGGATTGAGAGAACCTTGCTTATAGTAGCTTTGCACCATATTAGCAGGAATAGGAACTGCAAAGCACATCCAAAGTGGAATAAAGTTAAGAATTTTACACTGCCAACTGTGCACGCAAGTAGCCTAAGCAATCTCTCCTAGGGGAGACAGAGCCCGCAGGTGGAGAGATAGGGAAGAGTATTTGAGGTGGGAAGTTATCAACGTGCTCATTGTCCATGACAGCTACAGGAACTCAGAGTTGAGGCTGAGGGGATACGGGAGGGAGTGTGGCAACAGCATCTGCTGTGGTCCTTCAAATGTTTAGATTTTTCCCTTGGCAGAACTTGAACTATATTAAGATTGATGCTTCAAAGCCCCCTTAGTGGTTACTCTTGCTGGTAGTAAGTCTGCACATGCTAGGTGAAATGTGCATTCATATATTGAACATACATGCTCTAAGTCTGCACATGTTAGGTGAAGTGTGCCTTCATATATTGGAACAGTTGTAGAGACAACTATAAAAGTTTCCCAGTCTGAGCAGTATGGGGAGGGTCAGGTCTTTATCTCCCAGAGCTCATCACCACCCTCAGTGCAGTCTGCCAGCATCTCACTCCTTTAAGAATCTCATTTTCAGAGAAGTATACTGCAATGGTTAGTGAAATTATTCTCTGTAAAACTGCTTAGAGATTCTTACAGGAACTATTACCCCTCTATTAAAAACAGTGAGAAAAACTTTAAAAAATAATATTTCCTTGGCAGTTACAAACTACTTATTGACATAACCATATTAACTTCCATATAATCATATATTATATATATAATAATTATATTTAAAATCACTCATTTGGATAGCTTTAGCATAAAAATACATTTTAGGGTGGGTAAAAAGGGTGGTCAAAGCTATCATTTATGTCTGAATAGCAATAAGCTCTTAATAGTTCACCCAGCAAACCAATGATAGCAAGATAAAATGTAATTCATAGGCAAAAAAGACAATGCCTACTGCACAATTTAGGATGCTTTACCATAATTAGTGCATAAGAACTGAGATAGTGATTTTTTATTATGAGGGATAAGGTAAACCCAACCAAATTCCAAGATCTTTATGCATTTAGAGAATATTCTTTTTAAAGAGAATGGTTTTATGTGCAGTACCCACAGTTGGGCACTTATAAGTAAATGGATATTTTTCAACTCTGTGCTGTCTTCTGTATATTCTCTTTATGCACAGGCAGAAATTAATTCAGCAGCTAGTCAAGACCACCAACTACGAATAGTGGTCTGTGCTACTAAAAATAGTTCTACAGTATTTAATTTACATGTAATATTTGGTATCTGGTGCTGACACAATCCATAACTGGGGAGAATTATGTGGAAGATCTGACGAATTGTTCTTGAAATAGGGTGAGCAGGAGGAATATTTGGTATATGTCTCCTTATTTAATGTCTATTATGTATATCGTTAAAGATATAAAGATAATGGAACATGGTACTTTTGTTTGATGAATTCAGTCCCTTGGGGGAGACAAACATGCAGTCTTTTGCATCATATTTCCTGTTGCTTGGTGACAAAAATGCATTTTCTTACAGGCCTCTGAGGCTAGACTCAAGTGACTAAAGCCCTTATAAACATTTTCTTGGGTTGAGATTTTTAAAGTACATTTTCGGAAAGATTTAACCCAAAAAGACTACTTTGCTGCATTTCGTTTATTTCTCATCTTTGAAATGAGCAATTGGACTTGCTGCTATTTAAGTTCTCATATAGCTATAAAGAATTCTACATTGCACTATAAATGGGTTAGGGTACAGTGGGGAAGTCTCACAAGAAAATAAGTCTCCCAACCTGAAGATCTTTTATGACCACATATATAATACTATGTACATTAGAGCACTTTTACTAAGGTCTAATGAGAATTTTCTAGGAGTACACAGCTATGAAGTGTCACATTTGAATTATTCACCCAAATGAATCGACCTGAATTTTTAATATTTTAATTTACACCTATTTTACACATTCATGTTACTTAGAAAGTCTACACAATTGCATATTGAAACCTGGGGAAAACAAAGGCAGTAGATTTCACTTTATATTTGTCAGATATAGTGCATTCCTGGCATGCATATGATTAAATAATTTGGGGCAATTTTGCTTTGGATGTAATCAAGACAACATAAAACTTGTCAGCAGTATATGAGCCATAAGAACCGGCTATGGCAGACCCCTGGGAGAGATAAATGTTTTATTTTGTCGTGTTTGGCATGCAGCCTCATTTTGATTTTTATTAGATTAGTCTTTTCTTTCGACTTCTTTTCTTGCAGGCTCTTTCTGAGGGCAACATTATAAGGCTTCAAAAATAGCACAGTGAGCCAAGAGAAACTGCAAAGACACCGCTGTGGGATGGTGATTTGGATATAAAATTCTCTGAGCCAGGTGACATGTTTATGACTAACTCACTTCAGACTTACTCATTTAGTATTGGCACTATTTCAAATAAAAAAAATTCTCTTTTTCTCATGTTTCAGAAGATGTTATTAATTTAAAAGACAGTTAAAAGGTGCCATGAGGTTGAGGACAAAAGCAGATGGCATATTCCAGTGTGTGTTTCTGTCCCCTGATATGGAATGGTCAGTGGAAGTCCTGTGATTATTTTTTGCAGGGTACGATAAGCTATTGGACCCTCTTGGACAACCGTCTAGACCCTGGAGCCATTGTAGTTTGGATAAGGATGCTTAAGTAAGGGGTGGGGGACAGAGAAAGATGTTTGGGGGAGGGGTATCGATATTCTTTCTACACTTTTGCACCCAAGTACCTGGGAAATCTTCTAAGACTACGTTTATGCAGTACCTTCTATGTGTCAGACCACTGTGCCATGCACCTTCTTATGTTCTCCTATTTAATCCTTTCAGTGAGCCTTTGAGCAAACTCCTCTCCCTGCAACCAGAATTTCCCCAAGTTTTACCTGTCTGAGGGCAGAGATGAAGTCCTGTTGACACTAACACCCAAATTGCAATGACCTTTTGCCCCTCCCCGTGTGAGAACAGCCCTTCTAGTCCTCCCCCATGCGTGTCTCGGGAGGGTCAGAAGCCAGGCTGCTTCCTTTCTTCCACGCTGACTCCTGCCTTGCTGTGGTCAGCACTCTCCCTGCTGGAAATGCTTTCTTTGAGCTTTACTGTCAACTAGATCTTCACTGGGCTGGGAGCTGCCCTTGGACCCCTTTGCCCCAGATCTGAATTGAGGGCAGTGGCAGCATGGGGTGCTGTAAGGGGCAAGAGAGGTTCAGTTTAGAGGATGACTGCATTCCATCTCTGTGCAGCCCCTTGAAGTACACAGCTGATGTACACGGCTTCTACGACTATTTCACAGCTCCCCCATCTCCCCTGCCCCACCAATTATTGCTTGTCCAGCTTCTGTTCCTAACTCTTCTTTTCATAGGGACTCAGGTCATGGGAGGAGACAGAGGCCATGCCTCTTTAGTTTCTTCCTCTTCCCTATCCCTTCTTCTTTCAGGCATCCTAGGACTGTCCTTTCTCCTCTACTTAGCCTTCTTTCTTTAGATCAAAGATCAAAAACTCTCAAGCATTTCAACTCATGCAGTGAACATCTGAAGGGATCACAGATCCACCAGTTCCACAGATGACCATACTCATTCCACAGACGACCCACTTGGGAATCAGCTGGGGAAACCAGTTAAAACAGTTCCTGAGCTGTGATGGAAACACAGGGCAGTGACCCCAGAGGGCACCCCACTTTCCAATGCACAGGGTTAGACATTTCCTTGTTTCTGACTCAGCTCACTTTAGAAGACTTTTATCATCAAAAACCATTCTCCATACCTAATATTTAATGATTCTGAGGAAAGAGAAATAAGAAGCCTAGGAAACTATTCTGAATTATAATGCTCGAAAACTTCATGTTATTTGAAAATTAATCATGTGCAGGGGTACTGAAAGGCATCATACCAAGAAAATAGTACCTACAGAACAATGGAATCTGTCAGAAGAAACTTCCATTTTCATGACACTTTGAAGGAGGCAGTGATTTATTATTTCCAGATATATGATTAATTTTTACATGTTTTTAATTATGTGTTTTATGCTTTGTTGAACAAGGCACTTTAATCTACACATTGTAATTTGCTGGAACATCTGAGTTTGCTTCACAACTCAACTGTTTCAAGTTTCACGAAGGACACTGTGGTGCCCTGATCTCTGGCCAAGGCTCTGTGGTCTGTGCTCTACTCTGCAGCCTATGACAGGTTACAACCACATTTACTTATAGTAGAGAGGCTAAGACCAACTGCAGTTTCCTTCTCTTCACTCCTTTGAAAATGTTTGCATTGCAACTGCCACTCTTACTCCTACTGTGCTTAATGTCCCTGACAAAATATTAAGGCACCAGAATTAAGACAAAATATTAAGGCGCTGTTTAATAGCAGTACAGACTGTAATACCTTATTGGTGCTTTTAACTTTTAAAGCACTTTACTCACATCATCATATTTTATGCTGATAACAATTCTATAGCTTGTAGCTGTGGCAGATACGGATTTGTTGTGAGTCATGCCCAAGATCCTCTACTTTGCTGGTGTCCTGACTCACAATCCTGAGCTCTTTCACTGGACTCTGCTGACTTTAACAGATATGATCAGAGGCCTTGATAGAATGACTTGGTTAATATTTCTATCATGTTGAAAAGCCATTTAGAAAAAACTGACAGCAAATTAGTCATTTGTTTTTGCATTTATTAATTAAAAAATATTTTAAAACATGTATTATTTAGGTCTGTGGATATATCTAGGAAAAAACAGTAAAAAAACCTCCATTCTTATGGAGTTTATATTCCAGCAAGCAGTGAGTCCATATGCAAGCCAAATAAGTTGGATATGTAATATGCAACATGATGATGGTGCCAAGGAGAAAAATAAAGCAGGGATGGGGTTGGCAGTAGGCTGTAGTTTTAGACAAGGTGCCCAAGGGTGGCCTCACTGAGAAGATGGCATTTGTACAAAGACTCAAAGGAGAAAGACACAAAGGAGGTTAGTTTTATATAGTTCATCTGATCGCTTATAATTTTTGAATTGCCCTCATATTTATAATGTCATTTGGACTTCACCAGGGAGAATATTTACAGATGAGAAAAATAAGCATCAAGGATTTCCTAAGTTCATGCAGCCAATTAGGGTCCAAGCTGGACATAGAATTAAAAAAAACAAAAACCCAACTCTGGTCCCTGTGGTTTCTATTGTTCAAACTCTGCCTCTATAAAACAAGACTGAACATCTTTTAGTGGTTTATAGAAAAATGGGTTTGATATTTTTATAATACAATTAAAACCCCACTATTTTAATAAAGAATGTAGAAATTAAAGTCTTTTAAGAACTTTTTATCACACTTGAGTCATATTCAATTACTCAAATTTGGTATAATTAATTGTTTTAACAACTTTTCATTTTGTCTACTTAAATTCAATTACATAAATTTTATTAAGTACCAGCTATGTGTGCCAGAAATTGTTCTGTCCTGTGAACAAAAGAGAAGGCTAAAAAGAGCCTGCATAGTCAAATGAGCTCTCAAGGAATTCATTCGAATATTTTTTGTGATCGTGACAAGTTAAACCCTTGAGGTCCTCATTCCTGGGGTCTTGGTTCTGGTGATGGCCTACGGGACATGAATAATTTTTATTCCATATCCTCTTCCTAGGTATAAATCTTCAGGAGGTGGGTCCTCTGTTCTGGCTTGTAAAATCTCAGAAATGTGGGTGTAGCTAATTTTTCCTGTTAACGTTTTTCTTAAGATCACTGGAAAACAAAATGCGTAAAGATGTTCCCCAAACCCTTTGACGCACAGGACAAATAACAATGCTTTTGGTAAATGAAAAGATTCCTTAATTGATCGCATTTTTAAGAAGGAGAAGAATGAAGAATGCAGCTGCAGTTTTCTTTCCATAGTACTGAGCACTTTATGCAGTTTTTTTTTTTTTAAAGCTAAGTAAATGGGCAAGTTTTACTGGATTTGCACATTGCTCAGAATTTTGTGGTACCTAATAGGTAGCAACTTGGCAATGGTTTTCTAAGTTACAGGATGGCACTGTATTCACCCTGGCCTCATCACCAGGCCTATGGGGGAACTGTCAGCAAACACAGGATGTGTCCTTAGTCTACCTCCTTGCTGTCAAGGTAGCTGGAAATTGCGTTTTTACCAAGCCCCTTTGAAAAACAACCACTTCATTAGGCAACGGGCATGCTCATCAACATCGACTGTACATCCTATAGAGTTCTCGAAGCCTCCTAGCTTGCCTCTCTCCCTCCCAGTAAAATAAGCAATTTTCTCTAACGATGCCCACTGTTGTCCCTGTTTACTGAATTAGAATTGCCAGGTTTGGTAAGTGGCCTCCTGCAAATGTTGCAGCCACAAGTGGTTCTTGTCGCTCAGCGGCTCCCATGGCAACAGACGTGTTTACATTCACAACATTATTCACCTTCTTTTTTTTTTCACCTTTGCAATTCAGGAAGAAGAAAAACTGACACGTGAAAAGGGAAGATAGTGCCTTGAAAAGGGACAAGAAAGGAAAATGATTTTTAATTAGAAGAATTAATACAATATTCAATACAGTGGAGTATGTTTGCTTTTAGAGGAAAGCAGTGGAGGTGGGGGCTGGTGGCTTTGTGAAAAGGGCTAAAATATTTTAAAGTCGGGAATAAACAGATCTTACTTCAGGCTTGAATATAGATAAAATAGAATATATTAAGAAGGTAAGAAGTGCTCTGAATTCAACTCAAGGAAAAGATTATACATGAAGACAGTGGTTTTCACATCATCCCATAAAGTTCTTCCTCTCTGATCTTAAGATTTTTGGAATCTATCATTGAACTGGTGGAAATAAATTGTTTGATGCTCACGTGCTTCAAACACTGCAGAGCAGGATGAATGCAGTTTCTCTGTGAAAACATGCACACGTAGGTTTATTGCGGCACTATTCACAATAGCAAAGACTTGGAACCAACCCAAATGTCCAACAATCATAGACTGGATTAAGAAAATGTGGCACATATACACCATGGAATACTATGCAGCCATAAAAAATGATGAGTCCATGTCCTTTGTAGGGATATGGATGAAATTGGAAATCATCATTCTCAGTAAACTATCGCAAGAACAAAAAACCAAACACCGCATATTCTCACTCATAGGTGGGAATTGAACAATGAGAACACATGGACACAGGAAGGGGAACATCAAACTCTGGGGACTGTTGTGGGGTGGGGGGAGAGGGGAGGGATAGCTTTAGGAGATATACCTAATGCTAAATGACGAGTTAATGGGTGCAGCACACCAGCATGGCACATGTATACATATGTAACTAACCTGCACATTGTGCACATGTACCCTAAAACTTAAAGTATAATAATAATAATAAAAAAAAAAGAAAAGCCATGGTCTCTGGCTATGCTCTTCGTGTGTGTTCCCAAAACTTACACTTAGGGTGAGATAACTTACAGTTTGAGGAAAGTCCCGGTTATGCCTTGGGTCTGAAGTGTTTCTGCTCATTTATACCTGGAAATGGAAACTGAGACCCATTTTTATCCCTGTAAGTGTTCTGTAACTGATGAGTAAGCCAGTTGCAGGCAACAAAGTGCCATAAAATCATTTTTCTTCATGCAGCTGAACAGGAGCTAAAAAATTTAAAATATGAGTAAGTTATTAACCTGTACTTAATTCATATGTTCTCACTTGTAAGTGGGAGCTAAGCGATGAATAT
Organism: Homo sapiens; assembly: GCF_000001405.40. Classification (NCBI taxonomy): domain Eukaryota; kingdom Metazoa; phylum Chordata; class Mammalia; order Primates; family Hominidae; genus Homo; species Homo sapiens. The sequence continues at coordinate 32,999,003 of NC_000012.12, forward strand.
GCAAAGGCATAGGAATGATACAATGGAATTTGGGGGCTCAGGGGAGAGGGTGGAAGGGAGGTGAGGGGTAAAAGACTACAAATTGAGTTTAGTGTATACTGCTTGGGTGATGGGTGCACCAAAATCTCACAGATCATCACTAAAGAACTTACTCATGTAACCAAATACCACTTGTTCCCCAAAAACCTACGGAAATAAAAAATTAAAAAAAAAAGTTAGTAATAAAAATGGAAGGAAAAAGTATAATAATAAAAAAAAATACTTGTAATGTAATTCCCCTTTTGCTGACTTGCCAAGCGGTCTTAGTGAAGACCTTGGTATTTTTCAGTGTTTATCTTTGAAGCTGAACTTTTCTTTTTTCAGTTATGTCATTATGGTGATATTGGCAATAAGATAAACTTTGAGTTTTTCTTACCCCTATTAACTGTCAAAACAAATTTCTTGGCATCCCACATTCATAGAACTTAACTCAATTGACTCAGTTCGTCTCCTAGATAATTATGTAAGTATCTCAAAAACAATCCGTCAGGCTTGAATTTTACACAGTATCCATGCCTTCTTATTTTAGTTTACTGCCTCTCTGTCTCCTTAGAAATGTTTCCATTTCTGAAATCTCAGAGCCATCCCTGAATCCTTCTATCTAAGCTCAACCTATTTCTGTATCAATCTTCTCCACTTCATTAAAAGGCATCAACATCCTCCTAGTGGTTCAACCCTTCCCCAAAGCATCAGCTTTTGTGGTAGGTAACAGTTGTCTATAAATTCTTTGTAGCTCCTCTCATCAAAAGGTACAATCTATTTCTCAGCTCCTCAAATCTGGACTAGCTTTGTGATCCTTTGACTGGTAAAATGAAGTGAAAATGATATTGTATGAATTTTAAGCCTAGACCTTTAGAGATCTTGCAGCTTCCGTTTTCCCCTATTGCAATGTTTCTCAGCCTTAGCACTACTGCCATTCTGGGCCAGATAATTCTTTATGGTTGAGGCCTCTTTTGTAGGATGTTTATCAGCATCCCTGGCCTCTATCACTAGGTGCAAGTAGCAAGTACTGCCCTTCCCTTTCCCAAATTGTGACAACCAAAATGTCTGTAGACATTGCCAAATTTCTCTGGGGAATGGGGGCAAAATTGCCCCAGTTAAGAACCGTGACTCTATTGGAATGCTGCTGCCATGTGAACAAGGCTGGGCTGGGTTACTGGAAAACAAGAGCAGAGATGAGCAATCCCAGCAGGGCCCTTCCAGCCTGGCCATCACACCAGCAAGCTACTCAAAGCAGCTGGGCCAGCTGTGCGTGGCCTGAGGTTGAATTCAAGTTTCATTTGTTTCAAATAATTATCCAATTGTTTCTGCACAACTTATTTACTTTTTATTAGGTAGAGTATACATATATATGTACATGGTCTTTTTTTGGGCTGTCTATATTATATTATTATTATTCCATTGGTTCACTTGTCTTTGTATGTTTCTTGTAAAACTTGATATATGAAAGTTTATGGCCTCTTACTAACACCACCGCAATTACTACCTCTCCTTTTTTTCCTTTAATAGTGCATGTGCTATTCTTGATTCTTTGCATTCCCCGTACATTTTAGAATCAACTTGTTATATTCTCCCAAAAATTTGTTGTGGTTTTGGTTGGTAATGCATGGAAACTATAAATCAATCTAGACAGATTGGTATCTTTACAATATGAACTATTTCAATCTATGAACAAGATTTTTTCTCCTACATTTTCTGGTCATCTTTAATTTCTCTCCATAAAATTTTATACTATTTAGTATAGCACTCTTCTTGTATTTGTTAGATTTATTCTTAGAGAGTTGATATTTTGATGGTATTTTAAATGGCATCATTAAAAAATCATATTCTCAGCATTTTGCAGCTGGAATATATAAAGGCAATTGATTTTGGTATTAACTTGTATCCAGAAACACAGCTAAATTCAGTTATTTATCTTTTTTTTTTTTTTTTTGAGACATAGTCTCGCTCTGTAGCCCAGGCTGGAGTACAGTGGCACAATCTCTGCTCACTGCAACCTCCTCCTCCCAGGTTCAAGCAATTCTCCTGGCTCAGCCTCCCGAGTAGCTGGGATTACAGGCGCGTGCTATCACGCCCAGATAATTTTTGTATTTTTAGTGGAGATGGGGTTTCACCATGTTGGCCAGGATGGTCTCAATCTATTGACCTTGTGTTCTGCCGGCCTTGATCTCCCAAAGTGCTGGGATTACAGGTGTGAGCCACCACGCCTGGCCCAGTTATTTATCTTAATATTTTAATTTTAGATTACTTTTGGATTGTTTTACATATATAGTCATAACATATGCAAATATCCTTAAAACATATTTCTCTTCATTACCTTACTTCACTTATTGGGAGCTTGGTATAGTTTTATAGTGGTGAGTGGGCCAGTTTTAATAGCTTGATATGAATAACCAGTAAGCTGAAATATTATATATACATTCTGTTATATTTATGCATCAGGCAAAATAATAATTCCCAACTTTGGAACATCTGGGAAGTTTTCTGTAAAATTCTAGACGACGGTACTAGTAAAACTTGTATATCTTGCTACTACTTGGGAAAGACATCTGTTATTAGGTGAACTTTCTTTGGTATTGAGTTAATCATTTGAATCACATTCAATTTATTGAAATTTATATTAAGTGCCAGATGTTAATTGTTCATTTTTTGTTTTTATTATTAATTGGCACACAGTAATTGTGCATATTTGCAAAATACAGAGTGATTTTTGATACATGTATATGATATGTAATGATCAAATCAGCATAATTAGCTTATCCAACACCTGAAATATTTATCATTTCTTTGTGTTGGGAACATTCAAAATCCATTCTTCTAGTGAAAATATAAATTGTTGTTAATTATAGTCATTCTACAGTGCTACAGTACACAAGAACATATTCTTTCTATCTATCTCTATTTGCTATAATTTTGTATCTGTTAACAAAACTATTTCCTCTTCCCCTTCCCAGTCTTAACTATGTACCACTTTCTACTTCTGTGAGATCAACTTTTTTAGCTTCCACGTATGGGAGAGAACATGTAGAGTTTATGTTTCTGTGCCTGGCTTATTTGGCTTCACATAATGTCCTCTAAGCTCATCTGTGTTGCTGCAAATGAAAGGATCTCATTATTTTTTATGACCGAGTAGTATTCCATTGTGTATATGTACCACATTTTCCTTATCCATTCGTCTGCTGATGGACACTTAGGTTGATTCTATATCTTGGCAAATGTGAATAATGCTGCAATAAACATGGGAGTGCAGCTATCTCTTTGACACACAAATTTCCTTTCCTTTGTGTATATAACCAGTAGCAGAATAGCTGGATCATACGGTAGTTCTATTTTTAATTTTTAATTTTTTTGAGATGGAGTCTCACTCTGTCACCCAGGCTGGGGTGCAGTGGCGCGATCTCAGCTCACTGCAAACCTCTGCCTCCCGGGTTCAAGCAATTCTCCTGCCTCAGCCTCCTGGGTAGCTGGGATTACAGCCGTGTGCCACCATGCCCTGCTAATTTTTGTATTTTTAGTAGAGATGGGGTTTTGCCATGTTGGTCAGGCTGGTCTCAAACTCCTAACCTCAGGTGATCTGCCCCCCTCAGCCTCCCAAATTACTAGGATTACAGGTGTGAGCCACTGTGCCCAGCCTTATTTTTAATTTTGAGGAACTTCCATACTGTTTCCATAATGGCTGTACTAATTTCCATTCCCACCAACAGTGGGAAGTAAAAGTAGAGTTCCCCCTTTTCACATCCTCACCAGCATTTGTTATTTTTTGTCTTTCTGATAATAGCTATTCCAACTGGGATCAGGTGTATCTCACTGCGGGTTTTTTTTTTTTTTTTTTTTTACAGTGTCTTGGTCTGTTGCTCAGGCTAGAGTGCAGTGGCACAATCTTGGCTCACTGCAGCCTCTGCCTCCTGGGTTCAAGTGATTCTCCTGTCTCAGCCTCCGGAGTAGCTGGGACTACAGGCGCCTGCCACCACACCTGGCTAATTTTTGTATTTTTAGTAGAGATGGGGTTTCACCACACTGGCCAGGCTGATCTCGAACTCTTGACCTCAGGTGATCTGCCCACCTCGGTCTCCCAAAGTGTTGGGATTACAGGTGTGAGCCACCGTGCCCGGCTTCATTGTGGTTTTTATTTGCATTTCTCTCATAATTAATGATGTTCAGCATTTTTTCCTATACCCGTTGGCTATTTGTATGTCTTTTTTTGAGATATGTCTATTCAGCTCATTTGCCCATTTTACAATAAGATTATTATTACTTTTTGCTTTTGAGTTGTTTGAGTTTCTTGTATATTCTGGATGTTAACCCCTTGTTGGATGAATAGTTTGCAAATATTTTCTCTTATTTTGCAGATTTTCTGTTACTCTGCTGATTGTTTTCTTTGCTATGCAGAATCTTTTTAGTTTAATATAATCCCATTTTTCTATTTTGGCTTTTGTTACCTGTGTGTTTGAGGTCTTAGCCATAAAATCTTTGCTCAGTCCAATGTCTTGAAGTGTTTTCCCTGTTTTCTTCTAGTAGTTTCATATTTTGAGTCTTATATTTAAGTTTTTAATCCATTTTGTTTTGATTTTTGTATATGATGAGAGGGAGGGGGTCTAGCTTTATTCTTCAGCATACGGATATCCAGTTTTTCCAGTATCATTCTTTCTTGACTAATTTTTTTCCCCCAGTGAATATTCTTGGCATCTTTTTCAAAAATCAGTTGACTATAATATGTGGATTTATTTTTTGGTTCTTTATTCTGTTGCATTTGTCTATGTGCCTGTTTTTCTGTGGTACCATGCTGTTTTGGTTATGACAGTTTTGTAGTACATTTTGCAGTCAGGTAGTGTGATGCCTCCAGCTTTGTTCTTTTTGCTCAATATTGCTTTGGCTATTTGGGGTCTTTTGCGGGGTCCACATGAATTTTAGGATTGTTTTTTCTATTTCTGTGAAGAATGTCATTGGTACGTTGATAGGGATTGCATTGAATCTATAGATTGCTTTTAGTAGTATAGTCATTTTCACAATATTAATTATTTCAGATCATGAACATGGAATATTTTTCCATGTTTGGTCCTCTTCAATTTCTTTCATCAGTCTTTTATAGTTTTTCTTGTGCAGATATTTTATCCTTGGTTAAATTTATTCTTAGGTATTTTATTTTTTGTAGCTATTATAAATGGGATTGCTTTCTTGATTTATTTTTCAACTAGTTTGTTTTTGGTGTGTAGAAATGCTACTGATTTTTGTATATTGATTTTGTATTCTGCAACTTGGCTGAATTTGTTTATCAGGTTTATTTTTTTTTTTTTGGTGGAGCTTTTAGGGTTTTCTATGTATAAAATCATGTCATCTGCAAACAGGGACAATTCGACTTCTTTCCAATTTGGATGACCTTTATTTCTTTGTCTTGCCTAATTGCTCTGGCTAGAACTGCCAGTACCATGTTGAATAAAAGTGGTGAGAACAGACATACTTGTCTTGTTCCACTTCTTAGCTCTGATTCATTGGCTTTCAAAATAATTATACAGAATTTCTTGATTCAGTGGTTTCCAAATGTGGCTGCACATCAAAATCACTTGGGAAGCTTATATAAAATAACAATACTAAGCCCCTTCCCAGACCACATCAATCAGGATCTCAGAGGATAGGGCCTACGCTTTGATATTTTTTGTTTTAAGGCATTTCAACTGATTCTAATATGCAGCCAGGATTGAACACTGTTTCAATTTCTGAGCTATTTTCTGGTAGCATCTTAGGCCTTTGAAGAACTGTATTAACCCTTTCAAGCCCTCATGATTGCAATATGTCAAAGCAGGATTAATAACTGATACATCAGATTTTAAAAACAGAGAAATAAATATATCTGTAAACAAGGCTACTAGAAAGGGCAGTCTGTTTGTTTGAGAAGAATACAATAATCAAGTTGGATGGTGAAACCACTCTAACAATACAAATTATTATGAAATATTTGTTTTGAAAGTAATTTTCTTCCGAAAACATCACTCATCATTTTCGTTCCCTTGATAATTGTCTGATCGGATCAAAGGGCTCAGTTTCTTTCCCTAAGTAACAGTAACAATCTATATTTTATTTTCATTTAATAATAGGAAAAGAGGACAATATGTTTGGAAATTATCACTCTCTGTATCAAGCTCTCCCTGTTGGCTCATGGGTTGAAGTATTAAAGCCTTCATAAGCTTGAATATCCTCTGTTTGTAGTTACTTCTACTTCAGGGAGATTTTATGGAACGTAATCAAGCCAAAACTGTCAGAAGCTCCTCACAAGAATTGTTTTCAGCAGGGACTTTTGGTATAACAACAGTCTGAAAATTAGACTGACTTTAATCAGGATAATCTAAAATCAATTATACCCAACAGCATTGAACAAACCTGTCAAATTTTGTTGGCTTGTGAACTGAGAATTCTTGCAAAGTAGATGCCTCTCTAAAGTGGGACTTTGAGTAGGCAGCAAAGACCCTTCTTGCTAAGGATTCCCAGTTCTTGTGGGCAATGGTACCCTGGGCAGATAGCCATAATGATGTACGCTTGAGTGCCTAATTTGACCTGGGAGGAAAGATCTCCAAGCCTTCAGAGATTTTGTTTTTCTTCACTATAAGCTTTCTAAAATATGTATCTTCATTTCATTACTTCCATAGTTGAGTTAAAGGTTTCATTTTGAAGTCTGCTATTTAAATAAATTTTAATGTTGATCCTGGATGGGCTTTCTGAATATTCCCCAATTGTAGGCGGGCTGCTTGGCCTGCCTGTCTGCTTATACATCTCTCACCCCATCTGCCTCCCTCCCAACCTGCCCTATTATGAATTTTACTCAAGACATCAATGGATGATCTGTTTGAGGTAGCAAGATAGGAATTTTATATAGCTTATCACTTAAAACTTTTCCTAAAAACTTCTTCATATATTGTTTACACTGCCCAAAGTTTCCTGCTTAGGGCAACTGCTAAAATCCTCCCACTCTGCCTCTCTTTCTGCAGTCTCCTCACCATTTTGCTGCTTTCCCTCTTGCTTTTCTTATTCTCTGCAATGCTTACATCTCATTGTGTTAGTTCATTCTCACACTGCTGTAAAGAACTATCTGAGACTGGGTAATTTACAAGGAAAAGAGTTTTAATTGGCCACAGTTCACAGGCTATACAGGAAGCATGGCTGGGGAGTCCTCAGGAAACTTGCAATCATGGCTGGAGGCAAAGGGAAAGCAGGCATGTCTTATGTGGCTGAAGCAGGAGGAAGACAGAGCAAGCAAAGTGGGAGGTGCTATACACTTTCAAACAACCAGATCTTGTGAGAACTCTATCAGGGGAACAGCAAGGGGAAGTCCGTCCTCATGATTCAATCACTTCTCACCAGGCCCCTCCTCCAACACTGGGAATTACAATTTGACATGAGATTTGGGTGAAGACACAGAGCCAAATTATATCACTCATACTCCTGAAAATTGTTCTTTCCTCTTCCATAGCAGCTCCCTGGCAATCATGGTTTGTCACTTGTTTTCATCATATAAATTAGACCCTCCAAACCCTGGAAACAAATGAAAACAAGTGACACACCATTTTTATGAGGAAAACAAGTGACAAATCATTGTATATGATTCTCTCATACACAATTCTCTACCTCATTGCAGTTTTTCCTTAGCAAACTTCACAAAGAGGAGCACAGTGTACAATTTTTGCTTCCTAGGGAAGCAAAATTCTCTTCCCATTCACAGTCCTATATCCCTTTCCCTTATTTTTCTTCTCTGAGGTGAATGATGATTTTCTGTTTCATCTGAAGATGTTATTATATTTAGTCTGGTTATGCCAATCCATGTTTTGGGAGATGGGGGGGGGGCATATCTGGGAATGAGCACATTCATACTGGAATTTAGTTTTCTCCTTAAGGGTTCTACTCCTATAATTAGGGTTAAAATCTTCAGGAGGTAGGTTGCCATTATATGTCTTTCTGTTACAACCAGAGCCAATGTACAGGTATCTTTACTCCCCAGTGGGAACTATGAAATGGCTGTAGATGGATATGTGGGTACTAAAAGCTATGGGCAACTTGCCATACTCAAAGCAGATCATGGAGTTTTGTTTCCATACTGAGCACTATGTTGACTCAAGACAGGAAAGATGCCAATCACCTTAACTAGTATTGACGAACTGACTTACTCCTGTCCATTGATATCTTTCCTCTCATGGGCCCAACTTCAATAGGATTAGGCATACCTATGGCACTCAATCAGTAGTACTTTAAACACTATCACTTTAGTTCTCATTAGCTTACCTGACAGTGAGAATTTAGGGAGCCCTCCAAGTCTCAGTAAATGTCGGTCCCTCAAATCACTCACAAATTGGTTCAAATTTTTGGTTCAAATATGCCCAATTTTCTAAGCTGTGCTTCACTTTTCCTGGCTCTCATTTGAACATATAGTGGAAGGAACATTTATTTTCTTCTTGCTGACTCTTGATTATGAGTCCAAACTACAAATCCAAACTACTCTTCTTCCTATAATCTCCCCAAGGAAATGAGATCATCTACCATCTACATGGAGGCTCTGATGGCTTTGAGTCCCTTAATAACTACTATCACTAGATGCCATAACAAGAAATCTTCATACTGCAAAGTGTTTGTGTTAACTACGCATTGTTTTAAAAATAGAGAAGCTTTACATCCATTACTCAGAGTTTTGCATCTCTGTAGAAAGTAGCAATACCTGGCACTATTGGACCTATGTTCCCATTGAACAGAAGTTGGCCAATACAGAGTAGCATTTGCTTCTTTAGATGGGGCATCTGTCTTCCAGGTAGCAAAAGTCCTCACCACACCTAATTCTTTGATATCTGGCCTGCCTCAGTTATTGATATTACTTGATTGGCCCATGGAGGCATTTGAGTTTTCCACCTATGGTGTAGACTTTCACATAGTCTGCAGTAATTTTATCTCTTGAGGGTTCCATCCTTGTAATGTACTTTAAACACTACTCAAAGTCATCTTCTTTGACATAGAACTCCTTAAGGTATTTCTGCATTTTCTTGTAGAAAAGAGACCACATTGGTAGGTTCGCATCTGCTTTATTACAAATTCCGCATCAGAAACAAGTCCCCAGGACACTTGGTGAATCAGGATAAAGATTTAAAATAAGCCTTAGTATACCTGCCACCAACTACTTTTCCTCTTTCCCTCCCTTCCTCCTTCTTTCTCTTCTTTTCTCTCTTGTTTTCTTTCCTTATTGCACTTTCTTTTGTTATGCATTTACTAATCAGATGATATTTGTGTCATGCTTGTCCTGGCACAGGGTGATGACCAAAACCAGACAGTTATTTAATCATGAAGTTTAGATGGCAGAGAGAGAAGGAGAAAGAAAATTAAGTAAACCTATATATTTTTCCTTTTTTAAAAAATGATTTCTTTTAAATAGACAGATAAAATTGTATGCATTTATCCTATATAACATGATGTTTTAAAATATATATACATTGTGGAATGGTTAAATCTAGCCAATTAAAATATGCATTAACTCACAGTTATTTTTTGTGGTGAGAACATTTTACATGCATTCTGTTAGCATATTTCAATAATATAATGTATTGTCATTAACTATAGTCACCATGTGGTCCAATAGATCTCTTGAACTTATTCCTCCGATCCAACTATAATTTTGTATCCTTTGACCATTGTCTTTCCAGCCCTTCCCCATCCCTGCAAGTGCCCCAGCCTCTGGTAAGTACTATGGGACTCTCTACTTCTATGAGATCAACTTTTTTAGATTCCACATATGAATGAGATAATGTGGTATTTGTCTTTCTGTGCTTGTCTTATTCTACTTAATATAATATCCCCCAGGTTCATCCAGGTTGTTGCACATTTATAAGATTTCTTTATTTTTTTATAGCTGAATAGTATCCCACTGTGTACATATACTACACTTTCTTATTCATTAATCTGTTGATGGACACTTAGGTTGATTTCATATCTTGGCTAATGTGAATAATGCTGCAATAAACATGGGAGTGCAGGTATCTCTTTGACACACTGATTTCCTTTCCTTTGGGTATATAACATGTAGAAGAATAGCTGGATCATATGGTAATTCTATTTTTGTTTTTTTTGAGGAATCTTCATACTATTTTTATAATGGCTGTACTAATTTGCATTCCCATCACCAGTTTACAAGTATTTTCTCCACATCCTTATCAACATTTATCTTTTGTCTTTTTGATTGTAGCCATTCTAATAGGAGTGAGGTGAGATCTCATTGTGGTTTTGATTTGCATTTCTCTGATGATTAGTGATGTTGAGAATGTTTTCATATACCTGTTGGCCGTGTATATGACTTCTTTTGAGCTATGTCTATTTAGCACATTTGTGTATTTTAAAATCAGATTTATTTTTTAATTTTTTATTTGCTGTTGAGTTGTTTGAATTCCTTATATATTCTGGATATTAATCCCTTATCAGACATATAGTGTACAAATGCTTTCCACCATTCTGTAGGTTGTCTCTTTAATCTATTGATTGTTTTCTTTACTGTGTAGAAACTTTTGGTGTTATAATCTCATTTGTCTGTTTTTGCTTTTGTTGCCTGTGCTTTTGAGCTCATATCCAAATAAGCAATGTCATGGAGGCTTTTCTCTATATTTTCTTCTATTAGTTCTTTACTTTTGAGACTTACATTTAAGTCTTTGATACATTTTGAGTTGACTTTTTTTGTATATGGTGTGAGAGGTCTATTTTTTGTTTTGTTTTGTATGTGGATATCCAGTTTTCCCAGCCTAATTTAGTCAACAGAATTTCCTTTTCCCCTTTTATATTTATGGCACCTTTGACAAAAATCGGTTGGTTGTAAATGTGTGGATTTATTTCTGGGTTCTCTATTCTGTTCCATTGGTCTGTATCTTTGTTATGCAGTATCGTGTGGTTTTTGTTACTATAGCTTTGTAGTATATTTTAAAGTCAGGTAGTGTGATGCTTTCAGCTTTGTTGTTTTTGCTCAAGACTGCTTTGGCTATTCAGGGTCTTTTGTGGGACTATATGAATTTTAGGATATATATATTTTTTGCTTCTGTAAAGAATGTCATTGGTATTTTGATAGGGATTACTTTAAATCTGCAGATTGCTTTGGGTACTATGGACATTTTAACAATATTAATTCTTCCAATCCATCCACACAGGATGTTTCCATTTATTTTTGTCTTCTTCAATTTCTTTCATCAATGTTTTATGGTTTTCAGGGTAGAGGTCTTTCACATCCTTGGTTAAATTTATTCCTAAATGATTTAACTTTTTTGTAACTATTGTAAATGAGATTGTTTTCTTAATTTTTTTTTCAGATAGTTTGCTGTTGGTGTATAGAAATGCTATTGACTTTCGTATGTTGATGTTGTATTCTACAACTTTACTGAATTTGTTTATTAGTTCTAACAGTTTTTTGGTGGAATCTTTAGAATTTTCTACATATAATATCGTGTCTGTAAACAAGGACAATTTAATTTCTTCCTTTACAATTTGGATGCCTTTTATTTCTTTCAGTTATCTAACTGGTATGACTAGGACTTCCAGCTATATGTTGAATAGAAATGGCAAGAATAGGCACCTTTGCCTTGTGGATATTAAGGGAAAAGCTTTCACGTTTTCTCTATCGACTGTGATGTTAACTGTGCATTTGTCATATATGGCCTTTAGTGAGGTGAGGTACATTCCTTCTATACCTAATTTGTTGAGAGTTTTTAATTAAAATCCTGAAACAATGTTGATTTTTTTCTAATGCTTTTTTTGTATCAGTTGAAATGATCATATGGTTTTGTCCTTTATTTTGTTAATGTGATGTATCACATTTATTGATTTGTTTGTTGAACTAGCCTTACAAGTAAACACATTAAAAAATACTAGTAGTGAGGGACAGGAACACAGAAATTGTAGATTATGCTAAGGTTGTAGAATGTAACCTATGAGTAATGGGAAAGCATTAAGATTTTAAGCAGTTGTGAGTGTGTGTGTTTGATGGTGTGTATGTGTGACATGGTAAGATCTGTATTTAAAAGTCATTCTTGATACCATGGGGAGAATGGATTATAAAGAATCAGAGTGGATAAAGGCAAACTGGTTATGAAGCTTTTGTAATAGTCTGGCTAAGAAAGAATGGCCTCTTGGATGAGTGTGAGGCAGTGATGATGGAGAGAGGGGGAAAGATGAAACAGACATTTAGTCATGTCCTTTTCAGCAACATGGGAGCAGTTGGAGACCTTTATCCTAAGAGAATTTATGCAGAAATGGAAAACCAAATACTGTATATTTTCACTTATAAGTGGGAGCTAAACATCAGCTACTCATTGACATAGAGATGGCAACAATAGAAGCTGGGGATTACTAGAGGGTGGAGGAAGGGGTACAAGGGTGGATAAACTGACTATTGGGTACTATGCTCAATACCTGGGTGATGGGATCATTCATATTCGAAACCTCAGCATCACACAATATACCCATGTAACAAGCCTGCACCTGTACACCTTGAATCTAAAATAAAAGTTGAAAAAAAAGAGACTTAGGAAGAAGGTCAGCAAGACTATACAACAATGGGAAGTAAATTAGAGGAAGAGATCAAGGATGGCCCCCAACCTTCTGGGAGCTAGAACAAGATGGATGGTGCTGCCATCATTGCACCAGGGAAGCTTGCTCAGGTTTGAGGGGAAGATCATTATTTCAGTTTCAGAGATGTTGAGTTTAAGATGCATTTAGATTTTCCTTGTGGAGCTGGAGTGCAGGCTAGGAGCAGGACCAACTACATAGTTTGCAGGGCCCATGGCAAAATGAAAATTTGGGGCCTCTTGTTCAAATATTATTAACAATTTCAACATGGCTATAGCAGAGCATTAAACCAAAGGTTGGCACTTCCAAGCACAGCACCCTGTGTGACTGTACAGATTGTGTGCCCTTGAAGGTGTCACAAATCTGCTTATGAATCTGGAGCTCAGAGGAGATGTCTAGACTAAAAGTATGCATCTGGGAACCATCCTGGTATAGATGATAATTGAAGAAATTGTCTAAAGATATTTTAATGAGTGAGAAGAAAAAAAAGCCTTAAAGAATTTCAGCAATGTTGTAGCTGCAAAAGAGGTTCCTAAGAACTTTCACTTCTTAAGACATTGAAAGTCCATTTATACTGAGACACAACTAATTGCTAGAAAATTACTTAAAGAAAAATTTAACAACTTCTTCAGTGTAGTTAACTCACATAATGTGGTATAAGCCTCATTTTCTGCCTAATAGTTTAAACTTTGCAATCTCTAAAGACGTCAGAGGCATTTAAATCAGAGCAACTTCATCTTAAACAGGGGCTGGGTAAAATAAGGCTGAGACTTACCCGGCTGCATTCCAAGGAGGTTAGGCATTCTAAATCACAGGATAAGATAGCAGGCCAGCACAAGATACAGGTCATAAAGACCTGCTGATAAAACAGGTTGCAGTAAAGAAGCTAGCTAAAACCCACCCAAACAAGGACGGTGATGAGAGTCACCTCTGGTCAACCTCATGGCTCATTATACTCTAATTATAATGCATTAGCATGTCTAAAAGACACACCCACCAGCACCATGACAGTTTACAAATGCCATAGCAACATCCGAAAGTTACCCTGGATGGTCTAAAAAGGGGAGGAACCCTGAGTTCTAGAAATTGCCCACTCCTTTCCCAGAAAACTCATAAATAATCCACCCCTTGTTTAGCATATAATTAAGAAGTAACAATAAGTATCCTTAGCTGAGAAGTTCCAGCCGCTGCTCTACCTATGGAGTAGCCATTCTTTATTCCTTTACTTTCTTAATAAACTTGTTTTCACTTTATGGACTCACCTCAAATTATTTCTTGTGCGAGATTCAAGAACCCTCTCTTGAAGTCTGGATCAGGACCCCTTTCTGGTGACAAAAACATTAATTCCATGTCAGTATAAACTCTGTGATGTAGTTCCAGGAACCACTATGGTTTGAATCTTGGCCATGCTTGCCCTTGCCACCTGGGTCCTACTGTAGGCTTGAAGTCTATAGCCTGAGAAAGGAATGTGGCTGGCAGCTTCCCTCTTTCTTCTTTTACCAGTGGATTACTGACTACTATTTCTGACCCCTTGGGGGTTGGAGCCAGTAGAGGTAAGGGAATCAGAAAGCTCCTACAGAATGGCTTGTGATGTCAGTTTTGTATCTGTTATCTATTATCTTAGAATATCAACTGAAACTTCCATTTTAACTTCTGTTATAAAAGAATGCAAATCCAGCAACACATCAAAAAGCTTATCCACCATGATCAAGTGGGCTTCATCCCTGGGATGCAAGGCTGGTTCAACATACGAAAATCAATAAACGTAATCCAGCATATAAACAGAACCAAAGACAAAAACCACATGATTATCTCAATAGACATAGAAAAGGCCTTTGACAAAATTCAACAACCCTTCATGCTAAAAACTCTCAATAAATTAGGTATTGATGGGACGTATCTCAAAATAATAAGAGCTATCTATGACAAACCCACAGCCAATATCAGACTGAATGGACAAAAACCGGAAGCATTCCCTTCGAAAACTGGCACAAGACAGTGATGCCCTCTCTCACCACTCCTATTCAACATAGTGTTGGAAGTTCTGGCCAGGGCAATCGGGCAGGAGAAGGGAATAAAAGGCATTCAATTAGGAAAAGAGGAAGTCAAATTGTCCCTGTTTGCAGATGACATGATTGTATATCTAGAAAACCCCTTCGTCTCAGCCCAAAATCTCCTTAAGCTGATAAGCAACTTCAGCAAAGTCTCAGGATACAAAACCAATGTGCAAAAATCACAAGCATTCTTATACACCAATAACAGACTAACAGAGAGCCAAATCATGAGTGAACTCCCATTCACAATTGCTACAAAGAATAAAATACCTAGGAATCCAACTTACAAGGGATGTGAAGGACCTCTTCAAGGAGAACTACAAACCACTGCTCAATGAAATAAAAGAGGATACAAACAAATGGAAGAACATTCCATGCTCATGGGTAGGAAGAATCAATATTGTGAAAATGGCCATACTGCCCAAGGTAATTTATAGATTCAATGCCATCCCCATCAAGCTACCAATGACTTTCTTCAGAGAATTGGAAAAAAACTACTTTAAAGTTCATATGGAATCAAAAAAGAGCCCACATTGCCAAGTCAATCCTAAGCCAAAAGAACAAAGCTGGAGGCATCACACTACCTGACTTCAAACTATACTACAAGGCTACGGTAACCAAAACAGCATGGTACTGGTACCAAAACAGAAATATAGACCAATGGAACAGAACAGAGCCCTCAGAAATAATGCCACATATCTACAACCATCTGATCTTTGACAAACCTGACAAAAAGAAGAAATGGGGGAAAGGATTCCCTATTTAATAAATGGTGCTGGGAAAACTGGCTAGCCATATGTGGAAAGCTGAAACTGGATCCCTTCCTTACACCTTATACAAAAATTAATTCAAGATGGATTAAAGACTTACATGTTAGAACTAAAACCATAAAAACCCTAGATGAAAACCTAGGCAATACCATTCAGGACATAGGCATGGGCAAGGACTTCATGTCTAAAACACCAAAAGCAATGGCAACAAAAGACAAAATTGACAAATGGGATCTAATTAAACTAAAGAGCTTCTGCACACAAAAGAAACCACCATCAGAGTGAACAGGCAACCTAGAGAATGGGAGAAAATTTTTGCAACCTACTCATCTGACAAAGGGCTAATATCCAGAATCTACAATGAACTCAAACAAATTGACAAGAAAAAAACAAACAACCCCATCAAAAAGTGGGTGAAGGATATGAACAGACAATTCTCAAAAGAAGACATTTATGCAGCCAAAAAACACATGAAAAAATGCTCATCATCACTGGCCATCAGAGAAATGCAAATCAAAACCACAATGAGATATCATCTCACACCAGTTAGAATGGCAATCATTAAGAGGTCAGGAAACAACAGGTGCTGGAGAGGATGTGAAGAAATAGGAACACTTTTACACTGTTGGTGGGACTGTAAACTAGTTCAACCATTGTGGAAGTCAGTGTGGTGATTCCTCAGGGATCTGGAACTAGAAATACCATTTGACCCAGCCATCCCACTACTGGGTGTATACCCAAAGGATTATAAATCATGCTGCTATAAAGACACATGCACACATATGTTTATTGCGGCACTATTCACAATAGCAAAGACTTGGAACCAACCCAAATGTCCAACAATGATAGACTGGATTAAGAAAATGTGGCACATATACACCATGGAATACTATGCAGCCATAAAAAATGATGAGTTCATGTCCTTTGTAGGGACATGGATGAAGCTGGAAACCATCATTCTCAGCAAACTATGGCAAGGACAAAAAACCAAACACTGCATATTCTCATTCATAGGTGGGAATTGAATAATGAGAACACATGGACACAGGAAGGGGAACATCACACACCGGGGACTGTTGTGGTGTGGGGGCAGGGGGGGTGGGATAGCATTAGGAGATATACCTAATGCTAAATGACGAGTTAATGGGTGCAGCACACCAACATGGCACATGTGCACATATGTAACAAACCTGCACATTGTGCACATGTAACCTAAAACTTAAAGTATATATATAAAAAAAGAATGTAACACCCATGTCTCTAGCCTGAAGCATGATTTTTTTTTTTTAGTCTTTGATTGAATTACTTAAGCAGTTCTTAACTAATTTAAGTAAAAGATGCTATGAGATCAGAGAGATGAAATCTAGCCTCAGGGTTAGGGAAGGCTTCCTGCAGCATAGGTGTTACCAAGTGAGAAGCCAGGGAAAAGGAGTAATAAGATTTGAGCTAAGCATGTTGGATTCAAAGATATAGGTTAGAGAACAGGAGCACTAAGAGGACCCAGAGGCATTTGGTGGAGCAGATCACGAAAGCTGGAGAGTGACTGTGATGAAGGATGAGGCTGGAGAGTTAAGCAGGAGCTAGACTTTGAAGGGTCTGGTGAATGTGTTAAGGAGCAATGGGGAGTCATTGCACATTTACAACAAAGGTAATATGATCAAATTTGCATTTTCAAAAGATAGCTGAGGCTCCAGTGTGGGGAATAGATTGGAGGAACAAGGGAGAATGGTTAGAAGGTTCTTCCAGTCACTTCTCTTCCATCAGTTGTTATGGTTTGGCTGTGTCCCCACCCAAATCTCATCTTGAATTGTAACTCCCACAATTCCCATGTGTCATGGGAGGAAGCCGGTGGGAGGTAATTGACTCATGAGGGTGGGTCTTTCCCATGCTTTTCTCATGACAGAGAATAAGTCTTACAAGATCTGATGATTTTAAAAATGGGAGCTTCCCTGCACAAGATTGATCTCTCTCTTGCCTGCTGCCATCCATGTAAGATGTGACTTGCTCCTCATTGCCTTCTGCCATGATTGTGAGGCCTCCCCAGCCATGTGGAACTGTAAGTCCATTAAGTCTCCTTTTCTTCCCAGTTTCAGGTATGTCTTTATCAGCAGCATGAAAACAGATAAATACAGTAAATTGGTATCAGTAAAGTGGGGCACTGCTGAAGAGACACCTGAAAATGTGGAAGCAACTTTGCAACTGGGTAACAGGCAGAGGTTGGAACAGTTTGGAGGGCTCAGAAGAAGACCAGAAAATGTGGGAAAGTTTGGCACTTCCTAGAGACTTTTTGAATGGTTTTGCCCAAAATGCTTATGGATATATGGACAATAAAGTCCAGGCTGAGGTAGTCTCAGATGGAAATAAGGAACTTGTTGGGAACTGGAGCAAAGGTGATTCTTGTTATGTTTTAGCAAAGAGGCTGTGCCATTTTGCCCCCACCCTGGAGATGTGTGGAACTTTGAACTTGAGGAAGATGGTTTAGGGTATCTGGCAGAAGAAATGTCTAAGCAGCAAAGCATTCAAGAGGTGACTTGGGTTCTGTTAAAGGCATTCAGTTTTATAAGGGAAGGAGAACATAAAACTTCGGACATAAAAGTATCGCCTGACAATGTAATAGAAAAGAAAATCCCATTTTTCTGAGGAGAAATTCAAGCTGGCTGCAGAAACTTGCCTAAGTAACAAGGAGCTGAATGTTATTTACCAAGACAATGGGGAAAATGTCTCCAGGGTATGTCAGAGGTCTTCATGGCAGCCCTTCCCATCACAGGCCTGGAGGTCTAGGAGGAAATAATGGTTTTGTGGGCCAGGCCCAGGGTCCTTGTGCTGTGTGCAGTCTAGAGACTTGGTGCCCTGTGTCCCAGCTGCTCCAGCCATGACTAAAAGGGGCCAAGATACAGCTTGGGCTGTGGCTTCAGAGGGTGCAAGCCCCAAGCCTTGGCAGCTTCCACGTGTTTTTGAGCCTGCAGGTACACAGAAGTAAAGAATTGAGGTTTGGGAACCTCCACCTAGATTTCAGATGTATGGAAATGCCTGGACTTCCAGGAATAAGTTTGCTGCAGGGGCAGGGCTCTCATGGAGAACCTCTGCTAGGGCAGTGCAGAAGGGAAATGTGGGGTTAGAACCTTCACACGGAATTCCTAGTGGGGCACTACATAGTGGAACTATGAGAAGAAGGCCACCATCCTCTAGACCCCAGAATGGTAAATCCACTGACAGCTTGCACTGTGCACCTGGTAAAGCTGTGGACACTCAATGTCAGCCCATTAAAGCAGCCAGGAGGGAGGCTGTACCCTGTGAAGGTACAGGGGCAGAGCCACCTAAGACCATGGGAACCCACCTCTTGCATCAGCATGACCTGGATATGAGACATGGAGTCAAAGGAGATCATTTTGGAGCTTTAAGATTTGACTGCCCTGCTGGATTTTGAACTTGCATGGGGCCTGTAGCCCTTCGTTTTGGCCAATTTCTCCCATTTGGAATGGCTCTCTTTACCCAATGCCTGGAACCCCATTGTACCTAGGAAGTAGCTAACTTGCTTTTGATTTTACAGTCTTGTAGGTGGAAGGGACTTGCTTTGTCTCAGATGAGACTTTGAACTGTGGACTTTTGAGTTAATGCTGAAGTGATTTAAGAATTTGGGGGACTGTTGGGAAGAAATGATTTTTGAAATGTACAAAGGATGTGACATTTGGGAGGGGCCAGGGATGGAATGATATGATTTGGCTGTGTCCCCACACAAATCTCACCTTGAATTATAACTCCCACAATTCCCATGTGTTGTGTGAGGAACCCAGTGGGAGGTAATTGAATCATGGGGGTGGGTCTTTCCTGTGCTGTTCTCATGATAGTGAATGAATCTCACGAGATCTGATGGTTTTAAAAATGAGAGTTTCCCTTCACAGGCTCTCTCCTTCTCTTACCTGCCACCATCCACGTAAGATGTGACTTGCTCCTCCTTGCCTCTGCCATGATTGTGAGGCCTCCCCTGCCATGTGGAACTGTAAGTCAATTAAACCTCTTTTTCTCCCAGTCTTGGGTATGTCTTTATCAGCAGCATGAAAACAAACTAATACATTGGTTTACCTCCATAATCACATTTATTAAATGGATGCATTTCCCAGTCAAAGTGGGATTAAAAAAATTCTTTGTATGCACTGTGTTACTTAACTATCTTCTAAGGAGCACAGAGAGACTTCAGCAAGCATTAGTGATACGTACTGGAGGTGGAAATACTGGGTAGAAGAGGGAGGTTCCCTGGCAAAGGCCCCACTTTCAAGCCTGGAAACCTGTGGCCCTAAATGATAATGGGCATTCCTGTTTTCATGCCCAAAAGTTGCCTTTTGGCCCACCATGCCCCCCTATCCTGTACCCATATAAACCCCAGACCCCAGGCTCCAGAAGGAGATGAGTAAGAGACAAACAGAAGAGCAGAAGAACGCAGAACAGCATGGGAAAGGGAAGAGAAGTATCTGAATGCCGAGAGGAGTTCTGCTGGTAGTGGTTGGAGAGGAGATTGGCCACTGGATGGTGAAACTCCAGGGGAAGATCATCTTCCCACTCCATCTTCTTTCTAGTTCCCATCCATCCTGCTGA
This sequence comes from Homo sapiens, assembly GCF_000001405.40. Taxonomy (NCBI): domain Eukaryota; kingdom Metazoa; phylum Chordata; class Mammalia; order Primates; family Hominidae; genus Homo; species Homo sapiens. Next base: position 33,019,029 of record NC_000012.12, read on the forward strand.
GAGCCACCTCCACCACTCAATAAAACCCCCACATTCATCCCTCAAGCCCATGTGTAATCAGACTTTTCCTGGATGCTGGACAAGAGCCTGGGATATAGAGAGCTGTTACACTGGCCCTCTGCCCTTGCAAAAAGGCAGAAGGTCCACTGAGCTGTCTAATACTTAAGCCATCTGTAGATGGCAAGGCTAAAAGAGCACACCATAATACATGCCCACTTGGGCTTTGGGAGTCACAGACACCCACCCCTGGAAGCTGCCACTGGGCCAGAGCCCAGGGGTGCTCATCCTGGTTCCTGCACCTGTCCATCTTTGTGCTTTCCCTCCTGTAAGGGGTTTGAGTGTGCATGGTGGCTGAACAAGATGAGCCACATCCCTGTCGCATGTCCAGTGAAGGGTGTCAGGGAACTTAACCATTTCATTAGGATGTTCTCAAAGGGACTTTAAAATAGATATGGACAGAGATCCAAAATATAAAACGTTCTTTAATCCCTTGACACCTAGAGTCCGCCCAAGACGGAAAATCAATGCCATTGATAAGCTCCAGCTTGAACCATGTGATCTCTTTTTATATCAAAAGTAGCTAAGATGCAGCAGATTCTTTTATACAATTCCCCAAGGATGAAGGAGGATAAACTGTAGACTTCAAATGGTAATCAACAAACAAATGCAATAATCCTAATTTTCCCATTTTGAAAACATACTTATGAAACCACCTTAGCAAATGTTTTATATCAGTGAGAAAATTACAACAGTAAGCTAAGCTAGCCCAACCCCCATCCTGCCTCTCCCTTAATTACTCCTAGGCTATTGGGCCAAGCTAACTTTGGAAGACATTTAGGCTAAAGTTTAAATGATAATAGGCCTTGCCCCAAATTCAACCACTTTTGTAAAACTAATGGGAGACCATCAGGCTTGGGGAAAGAGAGGAACTTGAGTCCTGCTAAGGTGCAGACATAAACAATTGCCAGCCATTATTCTTGAGGTATAAAAAATGCAACTTCCCCAATTAGTCATGCAAATAACACCACTATTGTAGGTTGTCCTTTTAAGATATCTTTCCAGGGTTTTTGCATGTCTGACACCCATGGCTCCACCTGGACCCCCAACCCAGCTCCTGTGGCTCCACCCAGAATCAATTCAGCATGCAGGAGGACAGCTTCGACCCCCTATTATTTCATCTCTGCCACAACCAATCAGCAGCAAGCACCTGATACCTGACCACCTCTACCCCCTCCAAACTGTTTTTGAAGGACCCCTAGCTGCCTTTGAAAACAACCTACGAGCTCTGAACAAGATGAGAAATGACCTGAGTACAAACTCCATCTCCTACTTGGTGTGGCTGGCTCCTTGTCTTCTAAACTCTTTCTGTGCTACAATGCCATGGTCTTTCTTTATGCAGTGGGCAGGAAGAACCCCATGGGTGGTTACGCTTATTACTCAAATGTTCTCTTTGGTCTTATTTACTCAGCTTTGCTTGACTAATTGTTCACATAAGAAATGTTTCTTATCCATAAAGCCCAAATTAATGATGTTCTCAGTAACTGAGAATATTTTTACTGTCCTTTCTATATTTACATCATTTACATACTCTTTGGAGTAATTTTTTTTCAGATAATCTCTTGGCCAATTCCCCACCCTTCATATTGACCTTGCCATTCTCAATTCCCCTTTTTATAAGACTTAGAATTTTATAATATAATATTATAATTTTGTGTTTAATTAGTTTTTATTAGATTCTCCTATTTCTTGCATAGCATAAGAAAGTCCATATATTATCTTATTGATACAGGATTTTTTTGCTCCTTAGTTCAGCTAAATCTGGGTTCTTGTCTCATGACCAGGAAGAATTAGTTACATGGACATCAAAGCATGAGTGGAGTAGAATTTATTAAGTGAAAGGGGAGCGCTCAACAAAGAGTAGGGTCCCGTCAGCAGGTTCTCACCTCCCAGTGGAGTCCCAAGACTTCCACACAGGAGCTGAAAAAGCTAGACTCCTCCCCAGCATAAGGTGCAGATTCCTGGCAGCTCTGCCCTGTTCCCCTCAGTGTGCATATGGGCATGCCCAGGGAAGCCGTTGGTAGTATCAGAAAAGGCAACATTTGATTGAAAAAAGGCATTATCCAGAAATAATCGATCAGGAAAGGGCAGGCAAATAGGGCAGTTCTCCCTCTGAGTCACAGGTTTTCGTCTGGGACCAGCAGTTTGGTCTTTTAGCCTTCAGGCTGTTTTAAGCTTGAAGGTAGGGTTTTGCTGGGGACCCTTCCTTATCTGCCTAGGCATGTGGCTGTCTCCTGCCTCTATCATTATTACAAAATATTGGTTTGCTATGCTGTGCCTCAATTCAGTTGAATTGGGTCTTTCCAGCAACTGGCTGACCTGAAGCTCCAAAAAACAAAAGGTTGCATTTTATTTCTGATGATAAGGATATATTAGTACACATTTCCAATGGCTAAACCTGTTTTCCACACCTGTCCTCCCTCAGGCCATGTCCCTCTGACTCATTCACCTTGCTCAGTATGTGGCTAGAAAGTGAATCCTTTCTAGATTTTCCTTCTTTCTTTCTTTCTTTCTTTCTTTCTTTCTTTCTTTCTTTCTTTCTTTCTTTCTTTCCTTCCTTCCTTCCTTCCTTCCTTCCTTCCTTCCTTCCTTCTCTCTCTCTCTCTCTCTCTCTCCCCTATTCCCTTCCCTTCCCTTCCCTTCCTTTCTTTCTCCCATTACTGTTGACAGAAGATATTTGGGTAGAGATAGTATAAAGAAGCCTTCAAAAATAGTAGAATACATTGCTTGGGATTAACAACATTCTGTGTGTCTCCAGAATACAATTGCTGAATACAAGAGGAGCAAAAACACCAACAGAGTGTCATGATCATGGCAACTCCTGATGTCTATAAAAAGCACATAAGATTTTGGGAGCTTGGAAACTTATCTGTATCAAACTTCTGATCTGTTAATTCATGGAAAATCTCAATTGGATAGTTGTTTTCCTGTTGCCCACTTCTCTGGAATAGCTGCCTTCAGAGAAGAAATGAATGGCACTAATTTTCCATTATCAATAATAAAGATGAGCACAACTAATGAAGCTAAATAACATCCACTAATCAAAGCCCAATTAATAACACTCCAAGAGATGATTCTTTTTTTTTTATTATTTATTTATTTTTTCATTGATCATTCTTGGGTGTTTCTCGCAGAGGGGGATTTGGCAGGGTCATAGGACAATAGTGGAGGGAAGGTCAGCAGATAAACAAGTGAACAAAGGTCTCTGGTTTTCCTAGGCAGAGGACCCTGCGACCTTCCGCAGTGTTTGTGTCCCTGGGTACTTGAGATTAGGGAGTGGTGATGACTCTTAACGAGCATGTTGCCTTCAAGCATCTGTTTAACAAAGCACATCTTGCACCGCCCTTAATCCATTTAACCCTGAGTGGACACAGCACATGTTTCAGAGAGCACCGGGTTGGGGGTAAGGTCATAGATCAACAGCATCCCAAGGCAGAAGAATTTTTCTTAGTACAGAACAAAATGGAGTCTCCTGTGTCTACTTCTTTCTACACAGACACAGCAACAATCTGATTTCTCTATCTTATCCCCACATTTCCCCCTTTTCTATTCGACAAAACCACCACGTCATCATGGCCTGTTCTCAATGAGCTGTTGGGTACACCTCCCAGACGGGGTGGTGGCTGGGCAGAGGGGCTCCTCACTTCCCAGAAGGGGTGGCCAGGCAGAGGCGCCCCCCACCTCCTGGATGGGGTGGCTGGCCGGGCGGGAGCTGGCCCCCCACCTCCCTCCCAGATGGGGTGGCTGGCCGGGCAGGGGCTGGCCCCCACCTCCCTCCCGGACGGGGCGGCTGGCAGGGTGGGGGCTGACCCCCCACTTCCTGGACGGGGTGGCTGCTGGGTGGAGACACTCCTCACTTCCCAGATGGGGTGGCTGCCAGGCGGAGGGGCTCCTCACTTCTCAGATGGGGCGGCCGGGCAGAGACGCTCCTCACCTCCCAGACGGGGTCGTGGCCGGGCAGAGGCGCTCCTCACATCCCAAACGGGGCAGCGGGGCAGTGGCGCTCCCCACATCTCAGACGATGGGAGGCTGGGCAGAGACGCTCCTCACTTCCTAGACGGGATGGCGGCGGGGAAGAGGCGCTCCTCACTTCCCAGACTGGGCGGCAAGGCAGAGATGCTCCTCACTTCCCAGACGGGGTGGTGGCCGGGCAGAGGCTGCAATCTCGGCACTTTGGGAGGCCAAGGCAGGCGGCTGGGAGGTGGAGGTTGTAGCGAGCCGAGATCACGCCACTGCACTCCAGCCTGGGCAACATTGAGCACTGAGTGAATGAGACTCCATCTGCAATCCCGGCACCTCGGGGGGCCGAGGCTGGCAGATCACTCCCGGTTGGGAGCTGGAGACCAGTCCGGCCAACACAGCGAAACCCCGTCTCCACCAAAAAAATATGAAAACCCGTCAGGCGTGGCGGCGCACGCCTGCAATCGCAGGCACTCGGCAGGTTGAGGCAGGAGAATCAGGCAGGGAGGTTGCAGTGAGCAGAGATGGCGGCAGTACAGTCTAGCTTCGGCTGGGCATCAGAGGGAGACCGTGGAAAGGGGAGAAGGAGAGAGAGAGGGGGAGGGGGAGGGGGAGGGGGACCAAGAGACGATTCTTATGTTTTAAAAAAAACTGGTTAAATTTGCTTATCAGAAGAGGGTTCCATTTACTACTAAAATGGCTTGTCATACTTTCATAGTCCTAAAATGTTTAAAAATTGTAAATTAAAATTTTAAATGAGGTAAAGGAATGAAAGTTTCACCTTAGAAGAAAAATAAACTAAAAACTTCATAATCAACAATATTTGCTTGTACTTTGATTTTTAAAACCTTGATGTTTACTTAGACTGTTTATTTTTAATTAACAATATTTGCCTTATGCAGATGCCTTTTCTCTGTGGAAGATTTATATCTTTAGCTATCTCCCCAACAGAGGAGATAACCCTACAGAGTTTTTAAGAGATTTATGATGAGCAAATTGAAAAACTAGTGGGAACATTGGGGAAAAACAAGCGATCAGCCCAGTACAGTGCATACAATATTGGAGAATGGGGTTCTAGCGTCAGTTTTGCTCGCAGCTAGCAGCAATGCGATCTTGGTCAAGTTGTGGACTATTGTGACTTACCTTAAAAATGAGAGGTTGTAGTAACAGAAGGCCCTTCACTTCTCATACATCTCTCATTCTATGTTTAGCTGGTTTAATCTTTGTAGCTCCAGAATTCCAACACTCTAGCAATGAGAGAACATTTATAGAAACAGTGAATTATTTTGGTGTTAATTGCCTTAGAGAAAAATTAGTAATGATGATAACACCATGTAATGGAGAGGAATACAGAGCCAAGAGCTGGGGCATTGTTAGGAGTACTGGGGAGAAATGTACTATGGTGAGATTATGCCAGAAGGATAGGGGGATGATATAGTTTGGAAGTTTGTCCCCATCAAAAGCTCATGTTGAAATGTGATCCCCCAATGTTGGAGGTGGGGCATATTGGGAGGTGTTTGGGTCATGGGGTCAGATCCCTCATAAATGGCTTGGTGCCCTTCGTGAGGTAATGAGTGATTTTTTACTCTATTAGTTCACTCGATAGCTGATTGTTTAAAAGAGCATGGCACCCCTTCCTCTTGCTCCCTCTCTCACCATGTGACATGCCGGCTCCCCTGACCCTTCCACTGTGATTGGAAGTTTCCTGAGGTTCTCACCAGAGGCAAGTGCTGGTGCCATGCTTCTTGTACAGCCTGCGAAATTATGAGGGAAAGAAACCTCTTTTCCTTATAAATTACCCAGCCTCAGGTATTCCTTTATGGCAACACAAAACATACTACGACAGGAAAGAATCAAAAAGTGAGGTGTGCTCTAGGAAGAGGGAGTCATGAAGAGTGCAAAATTGAGTAGGTGAGAATTGAGTCAGAATGGCTGAATTTTATGAGAGGGTCCTTTGAATAATAGAGATAGACTCCAGAGCATAGGCAGAGAAAATATATGAGGCAAGTGATTGTCAACTACTTGTACTAGAAAATAATTTAGGCTTGCCATGTGATTTGTTCTGGAGAATAGAATGTAAGTAGAAGTGATTGTGCCATTTATAGAACAAGGTCATTTGCTAAATGATATTTTTGTCCCCCTCTCTCTCCTCTGTCCATATATTCAGGAAGAAAAGACTGTAGGATAATGAAGCCAGGTAGTGGAAAGAACTCTAATTCGTTAGTCAGTAGTAGAGGAAAGCTAATGGACTACATTCAGGAGTGCCACTAGACCACACAGGACTTTGTGCAAATGAGAACTAAATTTTTACTATTAGCCACTGAGAGTTGGAGGTTGTTTTTTAATAGCAGCAAAATAGCTGACCAAAACAAATTAGTAGCAGGAGTGGGAGCTTTGTAGGTATGCAATATTGGCTGAGCATCTACATATTTCTTGCTGTACACTTGTGCCAACACTTGATATGGTCAGTCTTTTAAACTTTAGCTCTTCTAGTAAGTTATAGTAGTATTTCACCGTGCTTTCAGTTTGCCTTTCCCAAAGAATTAATGATCTTGATCACCTTTTTGTGTGCTTATTTTCTATCTTTATTTTCTTTGAAGGAATGTCTGTTCAAATCTTTTGCCCATTAAAAAAACTTGGGTTGTTTGTTTTCTGTTATCAAGCTTTGAGAGTTCTTTATGTTCCAGACACATATAAAGTGTCCAGATGAGATATATAATTTCCAAATATTTTCTCCCTGTCTGTGGCTTTTCTTTCCATTCTCTTAACATTTACACACAGTGTTTGAATGTGGAATGTTTATGGTTGAATGTTAAGAGAATGGAAAGAGAAGCCACAGACTGAGCACATTCTCAAAATATTCTGTGTGTTCTGAAGAGCATGGAAAGGAAAATAAAAAAATCTCAGGACTCCCAAACTCATTACACCAAAGGGAAAGTTAAACCTGGAGACCGAATCACATAACACCACCATCCTTTTCCCAAATGAACAGCTGTTACTTCGCAATCTTGTATCAGAGCCATACATTAGCCAGGCCTCGACAGAAAGAAGGCCTCAGGTATCTCTGGATGACTATCCTCGCAAATTGTTCATAAGTAAACTATTTGCTGGCCTTGAAACCTTTCAAGATGTACATCCTCCCATAAAATAAGGATGGTCAATTGTACTTTTAACTCTCAATTTAAGTCTAGCTCCTAAAACTAAAGTTTGTTAGATTTCACACTGATAATGTCAATTACAAGCTTATCTTCCCAGGTGCAGAACAAAGACAAGATGAGCTCAATCTTTCCTCCACCTACCGGAGACACCTGCATAATTGATTCTTTTACTCCCTTTTTCCTTGAATGTTTACCTTATCGTATGTAAAATGCAGATTTACTGGACACTAATTAAAGTATCACAAAAATGTAACCATTTGCCTCATGCCCTACCACTCCACCCACTTTCTACATGTCTTCTCCCCCTCAAAGAAATGTATAAACACTGACCCTGCTACAAACCTCTTCAGACACCAAAGGCCACAGACGTTTTTGTGACTTGTATTTTTTCTGGGCATACCCTCAAGCTTTGGCTCAATAAACCTCGACTGACTGAGACTGTTGCTTCAGTCTCTAATTTTGGTTAAGAAGCAGAAGTTTTAAATTTTGATGAAGCCCAATTCATTATATTTATTGTGATGATAGATTAATGAAGGTCAATAAATACTTAAAATGTACAATTTGAGAAGATTCGACACATACCAAATCTTATCAAATTGTATGCTTTAAATATGTGCAATTTATTGTTTGTCAATTGTACTTTGATAAAGTTGTTTTACAAAGGGTGAGGGGAATAAAGAGAGTTCAGTAATTCAGGGTCTGCAAGTATGGAAGGCTAATTGCTTCTAGATCCTGTCAGTAAGAGAAACAGTAGTCCTACAAACTTTCCACATTAATTAAATGACTCAGCATAAAGAGAGGACTAAGGATGTGGTCTTCCCATCCACTGTGCTATGTAGTCTCACAAAATCACAGTGAAATTGGTAAGAGACATGCTGGGAAACTGGGGTAGGGGGAAGGAATAAATAAAATAAATGAGGCTGAGAATTATATCTAGTATAAACTTTGAGTATGGCTACCATCACATGGAACTAAGTGCAATCAGAGCTAAGAAGCCTACTAGGCTTTTGCAGGAATTAAATTGCCAAAGAAACCCAGAACCTATAATAAAAAGCCTTTTACTGTTCAGGATTTCGTTATTTTGTCTCCAGCATTCTATAAACAGAAGGTACCTTTGACAACGAAACAGCTCCGAAGATGGGCATCCTCATCACTATTCATTTCAGGTGCAGTCTAAAAAGATAAGGGGAGCTCCTATAGGGTACAGCACAGGTCAAAAAGAACAAGGGGCAAAGCAGATCCTTGCAGAAGGCAGCAATGGCAGAGTGTGAAAGTTTCTGTCCTGCCAGGGCAGAGAGACTTCACAGTGTCTTCTCTTGAGAATTCAGAATTGCTGTTGGTGAGTGACTGCTCTGTTTCCAATTCTTCCCCTTTCTGTAGGGGTGTCAGGTGCCAGTGTCTTGACCCTGTACTACCATCATATCCTGAGCATGTGTCTGGAGGGGGTAGAACCTGCATTTTAGTTTGTGGCAAACACCAGGAAGCTCCATATCTGGATCTGATGGATAAGACTTAGAGACTGGATTCTTATAACCACTCTTTGAGGTATGAATAATGATTTCCTCAATTTTACAGAGCAGAGAGTGGATAAGCAACATGCCTGAAGTCCATACAGCTAGTCAATGAACACTGGATGCTGAATTAACCTGGCTGAGTCTTTGGGTTGCCTTCCTGAGGAGAGGTGTTTTCTGCAAGTGGGAAGGAGGGAGCAAATGAGTACTTAGTGACTAAAAGGCAGAGTGTGGCAGGGACTATCAATGCCACTGAATGATGTCCTTGTGTTACTTCTCCATTTTCTAGCCTCCTTTGCAATTAAATTGGCCATGTGACAAGTTCGGAAGAATAGAATATGTTATGAAGTGATATATGCCACTTCTGAGTTAAGCAGGTTAAGTATCTGGTACGCATTCCCTAATCTCTCTCTCTCACTTGCTCTCTATTTATCTGTCTTTCCCTCTCTTATTTGTGGGCTTGGAAGTAAAGGGCTCAAAGATGGCTTGATCATATGATAGAAGGAGCTGGGATCCCTGAGTTTTAGCTGGAGGAATGCTGCCCTGCAGGGCTGCCCGGGCTTTGCTGGACTTTATGCGAATGGAAAATAAACCTATGCTGTTTTAAGTCACTGAGATTTGGGGCTGTTTATTGCAATGACTAGAATTAATTACTCTGACCAAGACCAATATTATAGTAATTGTGTAAAGGTGTCTAGCACATTCTCCACATTTTCCTACAGTCTCTGTACTTAATCACTTGGAAGATAATGGCTGTGAAGCTATCAAATCTTCACATTTTCCAAAAATTTATGACTCAGTTGCTTTTTTTTTTTTTAAAAAAGATGAGAAACAGCACTAATTTAAGGTATGTTTTTCTTTTGAAAACATAAACACTTGAATGTCATTATCTTTAAGTTGAAAAGTATGATATAGAAAGTCAGAGAAAAGGGGCTGGACACAGTGGCTCATTACTTTAATCCCAGCACTTTGGGAGGGCGAGGCGGGCAGATCACTTGAGGTCAGGAGTTCAAGAACAGCCTGGCCAACATGGTGAAACTCATCTCTACTAAAAATACAAAAATTAGCCAGGCGTGGTGGCACATGGCTCTAATCTTAGCTACTTGGGAGACTGGGGCAGGAGAACCCCTTGAACCCAGGAGATTGAGGTTGCAGTGAGCTGAGATCTCACCACTGCACTCCAGCCTGGGTGACAGAGTGAGACTCCATCTCAAAAAAAAAAAAAAGTCAGAGGAGAATTATTTATGTATCTATGGCTTGGGACATGTAGCTTCTGATCAGATTTCTAAACAAGGACAAAACTACTGAAGGAGAAAGTATATATTAAAAGCCTAGAGCCTGAAATCAAGTCTGTTGTCCATTCACTAGCTGTGTGGACTTTGGGTAAGTCACTTAACCATCCTCTGCCCTGCATAATTATGAAAATGATTGTTCATACCTCAAAATGTTGTTATGATAATTACATGAGTTAATGTTGTATAATAAAGAACTTAGCTGGCCTTTGTCCCTGATTCCTGGTACAGAGTCTCTAAACCCTTGGAATTTCTCGAGTGATAAGAATGGGACCACACCTGAGTTTCTGCTAACAAGGTGACACATGGTGGGTCTCTGGGTAGTTTCAGGATGGGGACTGATTATGCCAAAGACCAACTATGTGATTAGGGGGTTAGAGTAGGGAGGGGAGGAGGGCTGGAGATTGAGCCATTCGTGTGGCCAATGAGCCAGTCAATCACAGGGATAAAAAGAAACCCCAATAAAAACTCTGGACACCCAAAACTTGGATGAGCTTCCCTGGTTAATGTTCATACACTGATATGGCAGCAAGGTGATGCATTCTGATCACTCAAAAGCTTCACATTGAGGACCCTACCAGACCTTACCCTATGTGTCTTTATTTTGGCTGGCCCTGATTTGCATTTTTTGTGATAAATCTGTAATCTTAAGTGTAGTGTCTTCCTTAGTTCTGTGAGTTGTTTTGAGAATTATGAAACCTGAGGGGGTAGTGGGAGCCAAAATTGTGTCTAATTGGCCAGAAGTGGCTTGGGGGGCCTGGAAATCCTTTGTTTGCAGCTGGTGTCTAAAGTGAGAGCAGTCTTATGGGGGACTGTGTCCTTACTCTGTGAAGTTTGATCTACTTCTGGGTAGTTAGTGTCAGAATTGTACTGTAGTTAATACATGTAAAGCTTTTAGAATAGTGCCTGGCCCAGGGTAACTTTCAGGGAAAGTTAGCTAATAATATAAAGCTCTAAAATAGTATTCATACAGGAGCACTTATTATTAAAGATGAAGACAGAAGTACTGTATTCAATGCTGAAAGGAACCTTGTAAATTATATAGTTTGATGTGATTTTGACTTGTTTTAGTTCAAAAATCTTGTTAGTGCCAGGGCAAAGGCTCAAACCCCAGTCTTTTAAGACAAGATCATTATATAAAATGTGCTTTACTTTTCACATATTTTAAATGGGGCTAGTTCATCAAAACCTATATCCTAGCAGTAGGAGCATTTTGGGAAATCTGTCCAGCACCTATCTATTTCTCTGACAACCTTCTGTGCCTCTAGAATGAGACCTGAAGCTATGTTTCAACTATGCAAGTTTGAATCCTTGGTCACAGTCAAAGGATTGGGGTGTATAATTGACCCAAGATGGGTCTGTAAGGTTTTTACTTGTCAGAATTCAGAATTTGATTTAAAAAATACCAGCTGGTCTTGTGCCCCAAAGATGAGGCAGCTGAGGGCCATGTGTGGCCTGATTCCATGATGCCAGGTATGAAGAGAAAGAAAGATGAAAGGAGTCCATAATTAGAGGCAAAATGGAGAGAGTGGTGATCAGGGTTATTGTTTTTCTTTTCTTCTTGTTTGACTCTTGTCTCTTCTGGGGCCAGGCTTCATCTCTTGCTCTTGGGTTTTGTGAGATAACCTAATCCAATACATTCCCCTTGCTTGTTTATGCTTGTTTGAAATAGATTTTGTCAGTTGCAACTAATAGTCTTGATTAAGGATGGAATGAAACAAAAGTGCAAACTGCTTCTATCATGATTGCTATTGTGAATATAGGGAACAAGGAGGAGGGGTGGTGTGAGATAAAACACTGGAGTAAGGTGGGCCAAGGGCTTAGATTTAATAGGAACATTTTAACCGGATCTCTTAGAAAGCTCCAATGTCTTCAATTGAAACACAATTAAATTAGGCTCCCTTGAATGTGGATGAAAGGATGGTACCGATGTGGAAGAAAAAGGTTAAGCAAGCAATTGACGATTTTGTTTTCTTGCTCAAGATGGAATTGGGTTAACCAATAACTGTGGTGCACCAATGCAATTATAAAGTATAATGAAACCTTTGGGGACAAATAGAAAACACAACAGGTCCATGTCTTGGGTGACTGTACTGAATCAAAAATAGCATTTTTAGAAACAATTTTGTTATTATGAAGGGAAAACCAACAGCCATCACAAAGCTTATGTTCCACTGCATGTTTGAAAAGAAAAGATATTTGTCTTCTCAAGTGGTGGACCCCATGAGGCTGAAATAACCACTGTAAACAATGGATCTGAGAATCAATCTGAGAAGGTAGATATTTATCAGGCTGCCTCTCTTGGCAACTGGAAAAGGGTCAGAACTTATTTTTGTTTGGTGAAAAAGAAGTTCTAACAAAACATACAAATAACATTTACGACCAAAGGAACTGCTTTTCTAGGTACTTGTTCTGCTAAAGAAGGCAAGAGAGGCACAGCTCTTAATTTAACTTCATAGAATGAAAGATCACGTTGGAAAGTGCAGCTGAATAAGGGAAGCAGATAATTGTACCCTATCTTTCTTTCTTCCATGCTTTACTCTTTCTCTTTCTTTTTCTCCTTTGTCAGATTTTTTTCTAAAATGTAAGTGAAAATATGAGATTCTATCAATATGAAGATATCTTGCAGAGTGGCAAATTTTAAGGCAGAAGATGTTCCTTTCCCGTATGGAGATTAAAAAGGGACTAGAAATTTTGAGCATCTTAAGTTCTGTAAGTTACCTGTGTACGTTTTTTTTCTTTTCCCTTGTGTTTTTGTTTTATAGGTCCTGTGTGATTTATGCTTTAAGGAGGTTCTGTTTTGATGTGTTTCCAGGATTTTTTTTCAAGATTTAGAGCTCCTTTTAGCAGTTCTTGTAGTGTTGGCTTGGTAATGGTGAATTCTTTCAGCATTTGTTTGTCTGAAAATGACTATCTTTCCTTCATATATGATGCTTAGTTTCACTGGATACAAAATTCTTGGCTGACAATTGTTTTGTTTGAGGAGGCTGAAGATGGGCCCTAATCCCTTCTAGCTTGTAGGGTTTCTGCTGAAAAATCTGCTGTTAATCTGATAGGTTTTCCTTTATAGGTTACCTGGTGCTTCTGTTTCACAGCTCTTAAGATTCTTTCCTTCATCTTAACTTTGGATAACCTGATGACAATGTGCCTAGGTGCAGATCTTTTTGTGATGAATTTCCCAGGTGTTCTTTGTGCTTCTTGTATTTGCATGTCTAAGTCTCTAGCAAGGCTGGGGAAGTTTTCCTCGATTATTCCCCCAAATATATTTTCCAAGCTTTTAGATTGGTCTTCTTCCTCAGAAACACTGATTATTCTTAGGTTTGGCTGTTTAACATAATCCTAGACTTCTTGGAGGTATCTTTCTTTCTTTTCTTTCTTTTTTTTTTTGATGGAGTCTCACTCTGTTGCCCAGGTTGGAGTGCAATGGTGCAATCTCAGCTCACTGCAACCTCCACTTCCTGGGTTCAAGCAATTCTCCTGCCTCAGCCTCTTGAGTAGCTGGGATTACAGGTGCGTGCCACCACACCCAGCTAATTTTTGTATTTTTAGTAGAGACAGTGTTACACCATGTTGGTCAGTCTGGTCTCAAACTCCTGACCTCATGATCCACTTGCCTCAGCCTCCCAAAGTGTTGGGATTACAGGCATGAGCCACCACACCTGGCCTCTTTGTTCATATTTTCTTATTCTTTTTTCTTTGTTTGTGTTGGATTGAGTTAATTTGAAGACCTTGTCTTCAAGCTCTGAATTTCTTTCTTCTACTTGTTCAATTCTATTGTTGAGACTTCAGAGCATTTTACATTTCTAAAAGTGTGTCCACAGTTTCCTGAATTTTTGATTGCTTTTTCTTTAAGCTATCTATTACCTTGAATATTTCTCCCTTTAATTCTTGTATCATTTTTTGGATTTCCTTTCACTGGGCTTCACCTTTCTCTGGTCTCTCCCTGATTAGCTTAACAACTAACCTCCTGAATTCTTTTTCAGGTAAATCAGGGATTTCTTCTTGGTTTGGATCAATTGCTGGTGAATTAGTGTGGTTTTTGGAAGGTGTTGATGAACCTTGTTTTGTCATATTGTGTGGGTTCTTGGTCTCACTGACTTCAAGAATGAAGCCGCGGACCCTCGTGGTGAGTGTTGCAGCTCTTAAGGTGGCATGTCTGGAGTTTGTTCCTTCTGACATTCGGATGTGTTTGGAGTTTCTTCCTTCTGGTGGGTTCATGGTCTCGCTGGCTCAGCAGTAAAGCTGCAGACCTTCACAGTGAGTGTTACAGCTCTTAAGGCGGTGTGTCTGGAGTTGTTTGTTCCTCCTGGTGGGTTCGTGTTCTCGCTGGCTTCAGGAGTGAAGCTGCAGACCTTCCCAGAGATTACAGCTCATAAAGGCAGTGTGGATCCAAAGAGTGGGCAGTAGTAAGATTTATTGCAAAGAGCGAAAGAACAAAGCTTCCACAGTGTGGAAGGGGACCCAAGTTGGGTTGCCACTGCTGGCTTGGGCAGCCTGCTTTTATTCTCTTATCTGGCCCCACCCACATCCTGCTGATTGGTAGAGCCCAGTGGTCTGTTTTGACAGGGCGCTGATTGGTGCGTTTACAATCCCTGAGCTAGACACAAAGGTTCTCCACATCCCCACTAGACTAGCTAGATACAGAGTGTCCACACAAAGGTTCTCCAAGTCCCCACCAGAGTAGCTAGATTCAGAGTGTCGATTGGTGCATTCACAAACCCTGAACGAGACACAAGGTGCTGATTGGTGTGTTTACAAACCTTGAGCTAGATACAGAGTGCTGACTGGTGTATTTACAATCCCTGAGCTAGACATAAAGGTTCTCCGTGTCCCCACCAGACTCAGGAGCCCAGCTGGCTTCACCCAGTGGATCCCGCACCGGGGCTGCAGGTGGAGCTGCCTGCCAGTCCTGCACCGTGCGCTCGCACTCCTCAGCCCTTGGGTGGTCAATGGGACTGGGCGCCGTGGGGCAGGGGGCAGCACTCGTCAGGGAGGCTCGGGCTGCACAGGAGCCCACGGAGGGGGTGGGAGGCTCAGGTATGGTGGGCTGCAGGTCCCAAGCCCAGCCCCACGGGAAGGCAGCTAAGGCCAGGTGAGAAATCGAGCGCAGCGCCGGTGGGCTGGCACTGCTGGGGGACCGAGTACACCCTCCACAGCCGCTGGCCTGGGTGCTAAGTCCCTCATTGCCCGGAGCCGGCAGGGCCGGCCGGCTGCTCCGAGTGTGGGGCCTGCCAAGCCCACACCCACCTGGAACTCCAGCTGGCCTGCAAGCACCCCGCGCAGCCCTGGTTCCCGCTGGCGCCTCTCTCTCCACACCTCCCTGCAAGCTGAGGGAGCCAGCTCTGGCCTTGGTCAGCCCAGAAAGGGGCTCCCACAGTGCAGCGGTGGGCTGAAGGGCTCCTCAAATGCTGCCAAAGTGGGAGCCCAGGCAGAGGAGGCGCCAAGAGCGAGCGAGGGCTGTGAGGACTGCCAGAATGCTGTCGCTTCTCAATATTACCAGAGTTGGTTTTTTAGTTCCTTTTCATCTGGGTAGGCTCTGCCAGAGGGAAGGTCTAGGTTTGAAGTCTATTGTTCAGATTTTTTTGTCCCACAGGTGTTCCCTTGATGTAGTACTCTTCCCCTTTTCCTGTGGCTATGGCTTCCTGTGAGCCAAACTGCAGTGATTGTTGTCTCTCTTCTGGGTCTAGCCACCCAGCAAGTCTACCCAGCTCTAGGCTGGTATTGGGGGTTGTCTGCACAGAGTCCTGTGATGTAAACTGTTTATGGGTCTCTCAGCCATGGATACCAGTGCCGGTTCCAGGGAGGGTGGTGGAAGGTACAATGGAATCCATGAGGGTCCTTAGCTTTGGTGGTTTAATGCTCTATTTTTGTGCTGGTTGGCCTCCTGTCAAGGAGTGGTGCTTTCCAGAAAGGATCAGCTGTGATAGTGTGGAGAGGGACCAGCGGTGGGCAGGGCCCTAGAACTCCCAAGAGTATATACCCTTTGTTTTCTGCTATCAGGGTGGGTAGGGAAGGCCCATCAGGTAGGGGTGGGACTAGGTATGTCTGGACTCAGAATCTCTTTGGGCAGGTCTTGCTAGGGCTGCTGTTGGGGATGGGGGTGAGATTTCCAGGTCACTGGAGTTGTGTAGCTAGGAGGATTATGGTTGCCTCTGCTGAGTCATGCAGGTTGTCAGGGAAGTGGGAGAAAGGCATCAGTCACAGGCCTTACCCAGCTCCCACGCAAATGGAGGGGCAGGTCTCACTCCCACTGTGCCCCTCGCAACAGACCCAAGTCTGTTTCCAGGCAGAGGGCGAGATGGGCTTGAAAACTTGCCCCAGGCTTTCCACCTCCCAGAGTATTTGGGGTGTCTCCTGGGTCCTACAGGAGCAGTCCATTTCCTTCAGAGGGTCTGTGGGTCCTCTCAGGATGGCTTTTTTTTTTTCTTGCAGTTGATATGGAGCTAAAAATTCAGTGCTAGCCTCTGCATACTGCTCTGTCCATAGCTGCAATCTAGTCCTGCCTCCCATCCACCATGATCCCCAAGCTCTGTAAGTTATATAACTAGAGAGTTCTGTTTACGAACATTTGTCCAGTTTGCCTCATACAACCAGGTCTAGAATGAAATAAATAAGAAACATGGCTAGCTATCATTTTCTTAAAGAATTCTAGGCAAAAGTAAAAAAATCTTCTTTGATAGGGCATTCAATTTAGAAATATCTTCTTTATAAGTAACTTATACTTCGTCCTGTAGTCAAAGGGTATTTATTTAATACCAGGAATATATCTTCACTGGAGCAGAGCAGCCTTAAGTTGTCCATGAACCCATGGCTTAGATAATCAAAAATGTATGAAAAATCACCCAACCTCTTGCTTTGGTGGATATCAAGTAGACTTTTCTCCCTGTGTTTGTAGTAACACATCTCCAATCTTCCTTGATTGGGGAAGAAAGTTAATGCTTTGGCTTAAAAACCTTCATGTTGAACTCTTAGGAAATTAGAGGAGAAATGAGTAAAAATAATATTAACTTATTGAATCCACAAAAGTTAGTAATTTAAAGTGGAAATAGAATGGAAATAGCTACATATTACCTTTGCATCATATACTTTATAGGCCATAGAATACCAAATTTTCTTGTCTTTTTTCATGATTCCTAATTTCCTATACTTTGTTTTCTGTTGGTATTCACTTCAATGACCTTATCTTAACATAAGAGACTCAAACTTAACATGACTTTTGAAGAGGATCTTGCTAAAATCAAAAATAAAGACAAATGCTTTATAACTTTAATATATGATAATCTGCTAAATACCAAAGTTGTAAGCTTTTAAAGAATAATCTATATTTTCCATACTCCAATTGAAGTTATTAAAAATGAATTCTATATTTAACATTATATTAAACATTTCTATTATTTAACATTTAAATTAAACAAAGTGTCAAACACGTTAGAAGTTTTGGGTTGCAGTGCTTTTTTCATGTTACCCTTTATATCATGAAGAACATGATTCTCACAGATTTTGACTGTTGAAGAGCTGGAAGAAATGAATTGGAGGAGATAAAACATATTGCAAAGTACACTGAGTCCCATCTTCTTGCAAATCATCTAATTAAATCATGCAAATCTAAGTTCTAGTCATATTATTATAGCTCTTTCACAGAAAAAGAAAAAGACACAGGAATTAAGGAACTTGCTTATGTTCACATAACTAATAGGAACTGGGATTGAGATTCAAACCCATTGACATTCCAAAGTCAATGTTCTTTATGCTGCACTACATGACCTTATAATTTAATGTGTGTCTATTCTTTTACAATGTTTGGGGTGCATTTCCATCTCAGGAGAAAATTTCTGACAATGTATTGAGTGGGGAACTGATGACCAGAGTTAGGTTGTTATCATCAGCAACATGAAAGAATAAATACATGGATTCTTTAGGTATGTGTTAGGAAATTAGATTCATGATGGTAGCATGGGTCGCTCCCTGTCCCACTCTCTCTTTGTCTCTTGCCATTTCAATGGAGTAATCACCCAAGTTTTCTATTTGTGTTCTTTAAAAAGGAACAGCAATTATTATTTCATTTTCCTCTCTTTACTTGTAATATATTCAGAGAATTGGAAAGGAGTGTAATCAGTCCTGAAGTGGTTAACTTGACTCTTAGAAATCAACAGAAGTTGACAGAATTAGTGTTTTAACCTTCTTGTTTAGGGTTTTCTTTTTCGAAGGTCTGCAAATCCCATTTCTCAAAATCTTTTATATAATTGTTTGTGATAGACAGCCTGCTGTTCCATGCCTCTCTCAGTCTAGATTCAATAGAGAATGATATAAAAGTAACAAATGACAAAATCATTGTTTTACAAGAAGAAACATGACATTAAAACCCAGAATAACAAATAACTTCAATATAGTTGAAATATTCCAGAGAGGTTAAAAGCTTTCAATGAATTCTATTAAAACTGAGAAGAAAAGAAAATAATTAAAAAATAATTATTAATGTCTACAAAACCCCTTAACAAATATTCACTGACATATTATGCTAGTTTCTCTTAGTGTAAAATATGGGTTTGAAAAATGTGTTACTTCAAGTCTACAAATATTCTTTTGTAAAAGTAAAGATGGCTTTTTTTGGGGGGTGGGGTGCAGTTTATGGAAAAATAAGCTCAGAAATTGATTCTAAGCATCTTGCAATTGCAAATATGAAGGCAAAGTCTCATTCTGGCACTGAGGTTGTATTGTCAATAGCTGATACAAATATTTTCTAGTTATTTTTCATTTTCAGAATTTTTATGAAAATTATCTAATAATCAAATATCTTTGAAGCATCAACATTTATTTATTTTGCTTGTTTTACTGAAAATCTCTTAGAACTGTATTTCTGTTTCTTTAGTATATAGGAAAGCCCTAGCTCAATTTTTGTTTTTGGTTTTTGCAACTCAGGTTTATTATTACAAAAGTCAGTTGTTGCATCACATGGAAATGCAGTAATACAACCAGGTGCTCCAACAACCCATTTGCCTGACTTCTATGCTTTGAGTGTATTAATATTTTGAGGATATTATTTAAAGATTTTCCATTGCCCTTTTCCCCCATTCTTAGATCTTCAACTTTGCTTTTTTGCTATTGTCAGTATAGCTGATTCCAGTAATTCAGTGGAAGTCCTTTTTGTCTAATATTAGGCAAGATGGTTGATTATTAATTAAAAATTGTTAAAATAGGCCTTGTAAAAATGTTATATACATACAATATATATTTTATTTTAACCTAAAATATATAAACATTTCTGTTGGCCACTGTTTTCATAGAGGCCCATGGCTTATTCCTTGCATATGGGTTCACTGATAGGAATGCTAAACTTTCCTACATAAATCGGACACATAATGCATTATTTGACATCTCAAATATCATTGGCCAGGTATGAAATGAATTAAACTTGTTATAATTGTGTTTAAAATAAGAATTAGTGGATCATAAGTAAAGCAGCATATCATCAAGCAATACTGATTAATATTTAAGTTCCAAAATCTGTAGTCATTTTCTATTGTTACTGTAGCAATTTGCCACAAACCTAGTGGCTTAAAACAACACGTATTTATTATCATATGGTTTTATAGGTCAGAAGTCCAACACACATCTCACTGAGCCTAAATCAGGAGGTCAGCAGGGTGGCATTCCTTTCTTGAGGATCTAGGAGAGAATCTGTTTCCCGATTTTTTTGCAGCTTCTAGAGGCTGCCCATGTTCTGTGGCTCATGCCTTCCTTTCTCCATCTCCAAAGCCAATAATGTTGCATCTCTCTGACCATTTTTTCCATAGTCACATCACCCTTTTTTCATAGCTGGGAGAGGTTTTCCACTCTTAAAGACCCATGTGACTAGATTGGACCCTTCCCTGCCTCCACTTTATCCAGAATAATCTCCTCATCCCAAGGTCTTTTACTTAATAATATTTGCAATCTCTTTTGCCATGTAAGGTAACAGATTCACAGGTTGAAGGAATTAAGATATAGACACCTTTGGGAGGGGGTATTATTCCTCTTACCACAGTTTGCCCTATGTGTCCCAAATTCATATCAATCCCACATAGAAAATAGTTTCACTCCATCCCAAGGTCCCACAAATTCTCAATTATTGCATCAATTCATGGTATAAAATCTCATTATCTTAAAAGTCCAAAGTCATTATTTAAGTCATCTAAATTTAGTATGCGTGAAGCCATTGGTATAATCCATCCTGGAGTACAATTTCCCTCCATCTGTGTACCTGTAACACTCAAGAAACAAGTTATCTGCTCCAAAAATACAATGGTGAGATAAGTACAGGATAACAGTTATAAACATTTCAGTTAGAAGACAGCTGCATATCCTATTATCCTTTTATTTTATTCTTCCCTTGCCTTCTCAGTAGTTTTCTAGCTTCTCTTTACTGCCAAATTCTAAGACACTTCCACATTTTTAGGTATTTGTTAGAGCAGTACCCCACCAAATCTTATTCAACCCTTCACTACAACCCAGCTTAGGCAACCTATACTTTTTATTAACCATATGTTAGTTTTGCCTATTCTAGAACATCATGCAAATGAATTCATACAGTGTATACTCTGTTGGGCTTCTTTTACTTAGAATAATGTTTTGGATTTTTTTTCATGTTCTTAGTGTCAGTAGGCAATTTCTTTATATGCTGAGCAGTTTTCTGTTGTGTAAACACACCACAATGTGTTTTTGTATTGTGTTGTTGAACATTTGGATTGTTTTCAGTTTTTGGTTGAATAAGTTGA